>NW_014040929.1:202694-405389 GCF_000001405.40 Homo sapiens
GCCAGGAGCGAGCCCAGCTCTGGTGAGGAGGCCTGTGAGAGGCCGGTTTCTCCCAGTCCTCCGGGGCTCCTGCTTGAATGAGTTCGCTCTTATTTCATTTGGCTGTGTCGAGTGTTTTTAAAATATCAGTTTTTTCATAACGATAATATATGCATCTGGTATACATTTCAAAACATACAGTGAAATGAACACACATTATTGGCACAAGTGGTGAATGTGGTTGGGTCTTCGGATTAGACAGTAGCGATCCAGCCGTGTTAATGTCCTGAATTTCACCGTTGACTGACAGTGTACATGTGGGAACTTGTCCCTGTTTGTGGAAAATAGAGTTAGGTATTTGGTGGTGCAGCATGTTTGCGACTTATTCTCAAATGGTTCTGAGGCAGGAAAATAGGGTCTGGAGGCAGGGAACATAAGGCTGATTCACACTTCAGCTATGACAGGAAACATCCTCTCCATTTACATAGGGCGTACAGCAAGTAACCAATGGAAACCTCTAGAAGGTATTTAAATGCCAAAAAATTATGTAACCCAGCCCTTGAGCCCCTATGCTCCGCCGCACCCACACTGTGGGGTGTATTTTTATTTTCAATAAATCTCTGCCTTTGTTGCTTCATTATTTCCTTGCTTTGTGCGTTTTGCCCAATTCTTCATTCAAGAGACCAAGCACCTGGACACCCTCCATCGGTAACAGTTCATCAAAAATTTTTAAATAAAAAATTTTTTTTGTTGAGGCAGGGTCTTGCTCTGTTGCCCAGGCTGAGTGGAGTTGTGGATAAGGGCTTACTGCAGCCTCAACCTCCCAGGCTGAAGCCATCCTCCCACCTCAGCCCCCCAAGTAGCTGAGACTACAGGCACGTGCCATGGTGCCAGGCTAATTTTTTTTGAGGGGGCGGGTGTTTGTAGAGCCAGGGTCTTGCTATGTTGCCCAGGCTGGTCTTGAACTCCTGGACTCAAACTCCTGAGCTCAAGCGATCCTCCCACCGAGGCTTCCCAGAGTGCTGGGATTACAGGTGTGAGCCATGGTGCCCAACCTAAATCCTTCTTTATTAAGTTTGTCTTCAAAGAAATTTAGAATTTATGATTCAGCTTCCCTTCTCTCCTCCCCATCCTCCTGGATCTTTCTGTAACAGCTCTATTGACATATAACTCATATGCTATACAAGTCACCCATTCAAAGTATACAAGTCAATGTTTTTCAGTATATTCACAAGGTTGTGCATCCATCAACACAATCTAATTTTAGAACATTTTTATCATCTCAAAAGACCTTGGCTCACAGATGTAATCCCAGCACTTTGGGAGCCTGAGGCGGAAGGATTGATTGAGCCCAGGAGTTCAAGACCAGCCTGAGGCCGGGCGCTGTGGCTCACACTTGTAATCTCAGCACTTTGGGAGGCTGAGATGGGCGGATCACTTGAGCTCAGGAGCTCGAGACTAGCCTGGCCAACATGGCAAAACCACATCTCTACTCAAAATACAAAAAATTAGCCAGGCGTGGTGGCACGCACCTGTAATCCCAGCTACTTGGGAGGCTGAGGCAGGAGAATTGCTTGAACCCGGTAGGCGGAGGCTGCAGTGAGCAGATAGCACCATTGCACTCCAGCCTGGGTGACAGAGCAAAGCTCTGTGTCAAAAAAAAAAAAAAAAAAAAAAAAAAAAAACCTGGGAAATATAGGGAGACCTCATCTCTACAAAAAATAATTTTAGCTGGGCATGGTGGTACACACCTGTGGTCCCAGTTACTCGGGAGGCTGAGCTAGGAGGATGGCTTGAGCTGGAGAGGTCGAGGCTGCAGAGAGCCGTGATCGCTCCACTGCACTCCAGCTTGAGCAACAGAGTGAAACCCTGTTTCAGAAACAAAACAAAACAAAAAAGAACAACTAAAAGAAACCCCATACCCATAAGCAGTCACTCCCCAACTTGCCCCTCCCCCAGCACCTGGCAATCACTAACCTACTTTCCAGCTGTATGGATTTATGAATCTGCTTGTTTTCCACACGTGGAATCATACAATATGTGGCCCTGTATATCTGGCTTCTTCCACGGAGCATCATGTTTTCAGGGTTTGTCCATGTCATAGCATGCATCAGCACTTCATTCCTTTTCATGGCTGAATGCTGTTCCAATGTGTGGATCGAATATACGCGTTTACCCATTCATCATGGTGAATAATGGATATCTGGGTTGTTCCTACATCTTGGCTATTATGAATAATGCTGCTATGAACCTATTGTGTGAACATGTTTTCATGTCTCTTGGGTAAGTACCTAGGAGAATTTCTGGGTCAGGCCAGGTGCTGTGGCTCATGCCTGTAATTCCACCACTTTGGGAGGCCAAGGCAGATGGATCACCTGAGGTCAGGAGTTCGAGACCAGCCTGATCAACATGGAAAAGCCCCATCTCTACTAAAAATACAAAATTAACCGGGCGTGGTGGTGCATGCCTGTAATCCCAGCTACTTGGGAGGCTGAGGCAGGAGAATCGCTTGAACCCAGGAGGTGGAGGTTTCAGCGAGCCGAGATCGCACCACTGCACTCCAGTCTGGGCATCAAGAGCGAAACTCCATCTCAAAAAAGAAAAAAAAAAAAAGAATTCCTGGGTCACATGACTCTTTTAAGTTCCGTTTCAAAGAACTGCCAAACCATTTTCCAAAGTAACTGTAACATTTTACATTACCATCAGCAACATATGTGTTCCTATTTCTCCATGTTCTCTCCAACACTTGTTATTGTCTTTTTTTTTTTTTTGAGACAGGGTCTTGTTCTGTTGTGTAGGCTGGAGTGCAGTGGTGAAATCATGGCTCACTGCAGCCTCCACCTCCTGGGCTCAAGCAATTCTCCTACCTCAGGCCTCCCAATTAGTTGGAACTATAGGTGTGCGTCCCCATGCTTGGCTAATTTTTAAAAATTTTTTGTAGAGACAGGTTCTTGCTATGTTGCCCAGGCTGGTCCTGAACTCTTAGCCTCAAGTGATCCTCCCACCCCGGCCTCCCAAAGTGCTGGGATTACAGGCATGAGCCACCACACCTGACCTATCTGTCTTTTTTATTATAGCCATCCTAATAGGTTGGCTTCACCACTTGGTGAAGAGATATGTCATGTGGTTTTGATTTGCATTTCCCTAATGACATGGGTTGCCGTTTATATATCTTCTTTGCAGAAATGTTTATCGAAATTTTCTGCCCATTTTAAATTGGATTTTTAAAAGGTGTTATATAATCTTATCCATAAATATGTGTATAATTCTAAATGATATTTATTTTTTAATTTTTATTTTTGAGATGGGGTCTCACTATGCTGCCCAGGCTGGTCTCAAACTCCCAGGTTCAAACAGTCTTCCCACCTTAGCCTCCCAAGTAGCTAGGATTACAGGCATCTGCCACCACGCCTGGCAGGCTCTCTTTTTAAACAAAACCTCATTACCATTCTAACTCCTAAAAAATTTACAGTTCATATCATTGTATGATACAATGTTTGCAAAGTTTGTATGCAAAGGTTTCCCCCAACATTTTATTATGAATTTTTTCAGACATGCAGAAAAGTTAAAAGAATTATTCTATGAATACCTCATATACCCTAACCAGATTCTATATAACATTTTACTCAACTTGCTTTATCACACATAGATCCATCTATCCACCCTTCTATCCATCCATCACCATCTTCTTTTTTTCTTTTCTTCTTCTTCTTTTTTTTTTTTTTTTTGAGAGGAGTCTCACTCTGTTGCCAGGCTGGAGTGCAGTGGCGCGATCTCGGCTCACTGCAACCTCTGCCTCCCAGGTTCAAGTGATTCTCCTGCCCCAGCCTCCCGAGTAGCTGGGATTACAGGCACCCACCACTATGCCCGGCTAATTTTTTGTATTTTTGGTAGAGACAGAGTTTCACCACGTTGGCCAGGCTAGTCTCAAAAATTCCTGACCTTGTGATTCGCCTGCCTCGGCCTCCCAAAGTGTTGGGATTACATGCGTGAGCCACCACACCTGGCCAAAAAATATGGAACACTTCACAAATTTGCATGTCATCCTTGCGCAGGGGCCATGCTAATCTTCTCTGCATCATTCCAGATTTTAGTATATGTGCTGCTGAAGCGAGCACTATTTCTTTATTTTATTTTAATATTTTGTATTTTTGTATTTTTTTATTTATTTTTTATTGATCATTCTTGGGTGTTTCTCGCAGAGGGGGGATTTGGCAGGGTCACAGGACAATAGTGGAGGGAAGGTCAGCAGATAAACAAGTGAACAAAGGTCTCTGGTTTTCCTAGGCAGAGTGTGTGTGTCCCTGGGTACTTGAGATTAGGGAATGGTGATGACTCTTAACGAGCATGCTGCCTTCAAGCATCTGTTTAACAAAGCACATCTTGCACCGCCCTTAATCCATTTAACCCTGAGTGGACACAGCACATGTTTCAGAGAGCACAGGGTTGGGGGTAAGGTCATAGATCAACAGGATCCCAAGGCAGAAGAATTTTTCTTAGTACAGAACAAAATGAAAAGTCTCCCATGTCTACTTCTTTCTACACAGACACAGCAACCATCCGATTTCTCAATCTTTTCCCCACCTTTCCCCCTTTTCTATTCCACAAAACTGCCATTGTCATCATGGCCCGTTCTCAATGAGCTGTTGGGTACACCTCCCAGACGGGGTGGTGGCCGGGCAGAGGGGCTCCTCACTTCCCAGTAGGGGCGGCCGGGCAGAGGCGCCCCTCACCTCCCGGACCGGGCGGCTGGCCGGGCAGGGGGCTGACCCCCCACCTCCCTCCCGGACGGGGCGTCTCGCCTGGCGGGGGGCTGACCCCCCCCACCTCCCTCCCGGACGGGGCGGCTGGCTGGGCAGGGGGCTGACTCCCCCACCTCCCTCCCGGACGGGGCGGCTGGCCGGGCAGAGGGGCTCCTCACTTCCCAGTAGGGGCGGCCGGGCAGAGGCGCCCCTCACCTCCCAGACGGGGTGGCTGGCCGGGGCGGCTGGCCGGGCGGGGGGCTGACCCCCCCACCTCCCTTCCGGACGGGGTGGCTGCCGGGCGGAGACGCTCCTCACTTCCCAGACAGGGTGGCAGCCGGGCGGAGGGGCTCCTCACTTCTCAGATGGGGCGGTTGCCAGGCGGAGGGTCTCCTCCCTTCTCAGACGGGGCGGCCGGGCAGAGACGCTCCTCACCTCCCAGACGGGGCGGCGGGGCAGAGGCGCTCCCCACATCTCAGACGATGGGCGGCCGGGCAGAGACGCTCCTCACTTCCTAGATGGGATGGTGGCCGGGAAGAGGCGCTCCTCACTTCCTAGGTGAGATGGCGGCCGGGCAGAGACGCTCCTCACTTTCCAGACTGGGCAGCCAGGCAGAGGGGCTCCTCACATCCCAGATGATGGGCGGCCAGGCAGAGACGCACCTCACTTCCCAGACGGGGTAGCGGCCGGGCAGAGGCTGCACTCTTGGCACTTTGGGAGGCCAAGGCAGGCGGCTGGGAGGTGGAGGTTGTAGCTGAGATCACGCCACTGCACTCCAGCCTGGGCACCATTGAGCACTGAGTTAACGAGACTCCGTCTGCAATCCCGGCACCTCGGGAGGCCGAGGCTGGCGGATCACTCGCGGTTAGGAGCTGGAGACCAGCCCGGCCAACACAGCGAAACCCCGTCTCCACCAAAAAAATACGAAAACCAGTCAGGCGTGGCGGCGCGCGCCTGCAATCGCAGGCACTCGGCAGGCTGAGGCAGGAGAATCAGGCAGGGAGGTTGCAGTGAGCCGAGATGGCAGCAGCACAGTCCAGAGGGAGACCGTGGAAAGAGGAGAGGGAGAGGGGGAGGGGGAGGGGGAGGGAGCTATTTTGTATTTTTTTAGAAACAGAGTTTTGCTCTGTTGTCCAGACTAGAGTGCAGTGGCCTGACTATGGTTCACGGCAGCGTTGAACTCCTGGGCACAAGCCAACCTCCTGCCTCAGCCTCCCTAGCAGCTGGAACTACAGATGTTTGCTACATCTGGCTTACTTTTTTATTTTTTGTAGAGACAGGGTCTCGCCATGTTGCCCAGGCTGGTCTTGAACTCCTGGGCTCAAGCAATCTTCCCACCTCGTCTCCCAAAGTGCTGGGATTACAGGCTCATGCCATCGCACCCAGCCATCATTTTATTTACTTATCCATTCGAAGTAAATTGTAAACATCAGTATTTGTCACCCCTAAACATTTCAGAAGTACATCATTAGCTAGAGTACAATATTTGTTTATGATTCTTTCCTTGTGGTAAGCTTTGCGGAAAGATTCTTTGTTTATATTGGTGAAATGCACAAATCTAAAATGTACAGTTGGCTGGGCACAGCGACTCACGCCGGTAATCCCGACACTTTGGGCGGCTAGGGCAGGAGCATTGCTTGAGCCCAGGGAGTCGAGATCAGCCTGAGCAACATAAGGAGACCCCCGTCTTTATAAATATATATATTTTTAATTAGCTGGGCATGGTGGTGCACACCTGTGGTCCCAGCTACCTGGGAGGCTGGAGTGGGAGGATCACTTGAGTCCCAGAGGTTGAGCCTGCAATGAGCTGTGATCACACCACTGCACTCCAGCCTGGGCAATAGAGTGAGATCCTGTCTCAATAAAAACAAAAATAAAAAGAATTTAATAAAATAAAATATACAGCCAATGAGTTCTAACAAATGCACAGAGCTGTGTGACCTAGGGTATGGAACATATCCATCACTCCAGAAAGTTGCTTTAGACATGCAAACATTTAAACTTAGTTTGAGTCATGCTAATAACCGGTTTTACAGCATTTTATCCAATTAATAATATAGAGGGTTTAATTCGTCACTTCATGGTTTGTCCTGAAGCTTGCTAACCCATTACATCAGAAAGCCAACCCAGCTAATTTGAAAGTGGATGAGTCAGTGACTGGTGAATAAGTAAACACGAGAGTGAATAAAGAATAGATGGATGAATGAAAATGTAAAGAAATCAGCTGGGGGCAGTGGCTCACGCCTGTAATCCCAGCACTTTGGGAGGCCAAGGTGGGTGTATCACGAGTCAAGAGATTGAGACCATCCTGGCCAACATGGTGAAACCCTGTTTCTACTAAAAATACAAAAATTAGCTGGGCATGGTGGCGCATGCCTGTAGCCCCAGCTACTCAGGAGGCTGAAGCAGGAGAATCACTTGAACCCATGAGGCGGAGGTTGCAGTGAGCTGAGATGGCACCACTGCACTCCAGCCTGGCGACAGAGCAAGACTCCGTCTCAAAAAAAGAAAGAAAAAAAAGAAAGAAATCAATGAATGGGCCAGGCACGGTGGCCCACGCCTGTAATCCCAGCACTTTGGGAGGCGGAGGCAGGCGCACCACCTGAGGTCAGGAGTTCAAGACCAGCCTGGCCAACATGGCAAAACCCTGTCTCTACTAAAAATACAAAAATTAGCTGGGCGTGGTGGTGGGTGCCTGTAATTCCAGCTACTCAGGAGGCTGAGGCAGGAGAATTGCTTGAACGGGAGATGGCAGTTGCAGTGACCTGAGACAGCACCATTGCACTCCAGCCTGGATGACAAGAGCAAAACTCTGTCTCAAAAAAAAAATAAATAAAAATAAAAACAAGAAATCAATGAATGATGAAATCAGCAAAAGAGTGATTTGATGAAAGCATGGTTGGGTGGACAGATGGAGAGAAGAAAATATAAATGAATGGATAACTTTCCAGCTTGAGTTGGAAAAGGGTTGGAAAAAAATAGATAATGAAGAGATGAATGGATAATTGGATAGAAAGAGATGGAAAAGTGATGAATTGCTGAATGGAGGGATGAATGGGCATATGGAGGACAAATGGATGACTGTGATGGAAAGCAGAGAATTACATGGACAAATGGAGGGATGAATAAATGAATGGATGGACGAAAGTTAGACTTCGTAAGGATGGCTGAATGAATAGACAGATAGACTGGTATATGGTTAGATGTTTGGATGGATGGAGAAGATGATGGATGATCAGATGCATGGGTGATGGATAAAAGGTTGAATGAAAGAATGGATGGATAAACAGCTGGATAGAGCTAGACAGACTGGTGAGTAGATGAATAGTTGCATGTTTGGATGAATGGGTGAACATATGGTTGACTGGATGTTTGGAGAGATTGACGATGAGATGATGGGTGCAGAGGTAAATGGATGGGTAGATGGATAAAGGGTTGGATGAAAGGATGGTTGAACAATCAGCTCAATGGATGGATTGATGAGGTCTAGATGGTTGGATGTTTGATTGATGGATGGTTGGATGGACTTTTGGTTGGATACATGGAGAGATTGATGGATGTTGGGATACACGAGTGGAGAGATGGATGCATGGATGGATGGAACGACAGGCTGTATAGTGGTTAAGTGTGCAGATCCTTGGGAGCCAGATCAGCTGGATTTGAATCCTCCTTCTGCCATTTATGCAATGTATAATTTGGGCAATTTGTTTTATTTTCCTTTGTTTCCTCATCTGTTACAGAGGGATGATAATAATTGTTTCTACCTCTTGGGGTTGCTGTGAGAAGTGAATGAGCCCTAAATCAGTGCTTGGGGCATAACCAGATTTATGATGACAGGAGGATGGATGGTCAGATGACTGGATGGATGAAGGATAGATGAAGTGCATGACTGAACCAAGGAAGGGAAGAGTAGCCGGGGAGCAGATGGAGACACACACTCATGAGACACCCTCAGACATTTTATTAGGGGCTTAGAAAGGAGTCCTAGGGGATAATTCTGTTTTCCCATGAGTTATGGCCCCAGGAATAGATTAGATCTGGACATAGGACAAGGTGACATCACCCTGGATTTCCAATGTGTCCACCCTCTGGAAGGCCGAGAGGCGATGGGCAAAGTCAAAGAGGTGCTGGCCATTGGCGTAAACCTTGAAGCGATCCAAGCCACAGCGAATGGACAGCTGCAGGGAGAAGGGTGGGCATGAGGCCAGGGCCAGGACTGAGGCCCTGGAAGGAAGTGGGAAAAGAGAGCTCAGACTCACATCAAAGAACTGTCCGGGACCAAATGGGTTGTGGGTGATCTTCTTCTCCTCGGATCCCCACGAGCCATTCAGAAGGCTGTTCCGGACCACGGTACCGTTGCCCATGCGGGGATTAATGTGCAGAGCTATGTCCCCTGAGGAGCCCACCTTGAAGTTGATAGCAAAGCTGGGGACAGAGAGGGATGGGGGAGTCAGATGGAGTCCAGTGGGAAGAGGCCAGTGGGCTGGACCTCTGAATCCCTAAAGGAGGAGGGGACAGAGGGTCTAGATTGTTGGGTCTGAGGGAGGAGGGGGCTGGGGGTTCCCACCTAGTTTACGTTATACCTCTTGCCTGTGGGAGGCACATAGCCCTTGATGATGATGGTTCTTCGAGCTGTGAGCCCTCCTTGCAGCCTCCCGAAATATGGCACAGGCTGTGGGAAGAGAACGGGGGGTCCCATTCTCTCTCAGCTTAGCAGAGCCAGATGTGGGAAGAAATTTTCTTTTTCTTTTCTTTTCTTTCCTGTCTTTTTTTCTTATAAGAGATGGGGTCTTACTCTGTCACCCAGGCTGGAGTGCAGTGGCATGATCAAGCCTCACTGCAGCCTCAAACTGCTGGGCTCAAGCAATCCTCCCATCTCAGCCTCCCGAAGTGCTGGGATTACAGGCGTGAGCCACCACGCCAAGCCTTGCAGGAACAAAGGAACAAATTTTGTTTTTTTTTTTAGGCAGAGTCTCCCTCTGACGCCCAGGCTGGAGTGTAGTGGCATAATCTCAGCTCACTGCAACCTCTGCCTCCTAGGTTCAAGCAATTCTGCTGCCTCAGCCTTCCTAGTAGCTGGGATTACAGGTGTGCGCCACCACACCTGGCTAACTTTTGTCATTTTAGTAGAGACGGGGATTCATCATGTTGACCAGGCTGATCTGGAACTCTTGACCTCAAGTGATCCACCTGCCTTGGCCTCCCAAAGGGCTGGGATTATAGGCATGAGCCACCGTGTCTGGCCAAGAATAAATTTTCTTTTTCTTTTTTTTTTTTTTTTTTGAGATGGAGTCTCGTTCTGTCACCAGGTTGGAGTACTGTGGCACGATCCCGGCTCACTGCAACCTCCGACTCCCTGGTTCAAGCGATTCTCCTGCCTCAGCTTCCTGAGTAGCTGGGATTACAGGCGCGCGCCACCATGCCCAGCTAATTTTTGTATTTTTAGTAGAGACAGAGTTTCACTATGCTGGCCAGGATGGTCTCGATCGATCTCCTGACCTCGTGATCTGTCCGCCTTGGCATCCCAAAGTGCTGGGATTACAGGCGTGAGCCACCATGTCCAGCCCAAGAACAAATTTTCTGAGAGGTCCCACTCCTCCTGGAAAACATCCCCAATTCCTTCTGCTCCCTAAACCTGACCACGAACTCTATCTACCCTTCCCCTACCTCCCACCCCAAAACCCTCAGCCCACTCCCTTTCTGGCTGTCTCAGATTCCCTGGAGATCCGTGCCCCCTCCCCACCATCCATCTCTGTTTCCCCAAGCCATACCGGGTTGAAGGTTGGGGGTCCTTCCATGGTCTGTGAAGTGAGGAAGAAGCGATATTATTCTCCAAGAGTCGACAGATATCTATGACACACCCATTAGACTCCGGCGTTTCTCTAGGTGCTGGGTTAGTACACCTTGGGCTGCAACCCCTCTTAGCTCCCCCTACCCCAATTCTCACCATTCCCACTCCTCACCCGGGGCCCTCCCAGCCCTCCCACTCACGGGCAGGCTGTTCAGCTGTTGATGGCAATGTCCGGGACCCTGAACGATGGACAGAAGGCAGGAAGGGTGAGAGGGGCTGAGGGACCCCACTAGGGAGGAAGACCCTCACCTATCAGCAAGTACTTACAGGGTAAGGTGGCATCATCGGGGGTCCCTGTGGGCACAGAAAGAGAAAGCGGTTATGAGAGGGTCCCCAGATTTGCGACTGAAAGATGTCGAGAGTGCCTGCCCTGGGGTGGCCCACCACCACCACCACTATGCCAGAGAACTCTGGCATCAAAGGGTGGCACCCCGATCACAGATTCACGGAGAGGGGCACCCCATGTTCTGGGATCGCTGATGCCCAGTGAGTCACCCCAAAGCTTTAGGACAATGCTTGGTCCATTTCGTTCTCTGTGCCCTTCCCCTTGCTGTCTTCCTGCTGTCCCGGGGCCCTCACTCGCTGATCTTGATCTCAGTTTCTGCCTCTGTCCCTGTGTCTCTGCCTCTCTCTCTGTCTTGGCCACACCTCAGCGCAGGGGCTTCCTTCTGCCAAACACTTTTATTTATTTATTTGAGATGGAATTTCGCTCTTGTTGCCCAGGGTGCCGTGCAGTGGCACGATCTCTGCTCACCTCAACCTCTGCCTCCTGGGTTCAAGTGATTCTCCTGCCTCAGCCTCCGGTGTAGCTGGGATTACAAGCATGCGCCACCACGCCCAGCTAATTTTGTATTTTTAATAGAGATGGGGTTTCTCCATGTTGGTCAGGCTGGTCTCAAACTCCCGACCTCAGGTGATCCGCTCGCCTCACCCTCCCAAGTCTAACACCTTTAACTTTTACTCTCTCTCTTTCTCTCTGTTACCTTCTCTTTTCTCCTCCTTGTAATTAACTCCATTCTGCCTTGACTTCTATTCTCAGCCAGCTATTCTGAAGGCCTTTTAAAAGTAGCTTTATATAGCCGGGCGTGGTGGCAGGTGCCTGTAATCACAGCTACTTGGGAGGCTGAGGAAGAATTCCTTAAACCTGGGAGGCAGAGGGTGCAGTGAGCTGAGATCATGCCACTGCACTCCAACCTGGGCCACAGAGCAAGACTCCATCTAAAAAAAAAACAAAAAACAAAAAACAAACAAACAAATAAACGTAGCTTTATAAGCCGGGGGCTGTGGCTCACGCCTGTAATCTCAGGACTTTGGGAGGCTGAGGTGGGTGGATCACCTGAGGTCAGGAGTTCAAGACCAGCCTGGACAACATAGGAAAATTCCTCCCCTCTGTCTTTACAAAAAATTTAAAAACTAGCTGGGGCTGGTGGTGCGTGCCTGTAGTCCCAGCTACTCAGGAGACTGAGGTGGGAGGATCACTTGAACCCAGGAAGTCAAGAATACAGTAGGCTGTGATTGCACCACCACACTCCAGCCTGGGTGACAGAGCCAGACCCTGCCTCAAAAATTAATAATAATAATAATAATAATAATAATAATAATAATAATAATAAAATTGATAAACTCAACTTAATTGTATGTTATTTATTTTTAATGATTGTGTTAAGCAACCTCTAGGGAATTCATTCACTATCGTGTGTTCTTTGCCTTTCCTTATCCTCACTTTCTGACTCACCTTACACACTTCCTCCTACTCCAGGAAGCACTTCCTTCCTGACCCATGACTAGTCAAGCCCTTCCTGTAGGCTCCCAAACCTCCTGTATACTCCATATCCCAGCCCCTGCCCCTCTGCCTGTGCCCTCCCTATCACAGACCTGACCATTTCTGGGCTGTCACTCTCTGATGCCATGTCTGTGAGCCCAGTGAGGTCAGGGCCCAGAGATATCTCAGTCATTCCTGTCTCCAGCCCTGGGCCTGACCCCTCTGCCTGCCTCCACCCACCCTCCTGTCCTGGCCCTGATCCCTCTGTCTGGGCCCAAACCCAACTGCAACCCTTCAGCCAGGGCCTCCCCATCCCGGCCTTTATCCCTTGCAGTGATGGGTCTGTCTTCCCAGTGGGATCCCTTGATCATCACTGGGCTCTTGGCATAACTCAGCAGAGGGAGATGCTTGGGAAATAAATGAATGTGGAATGCGCTGGGCACCATGGCTCACACCTGTAATCCCAGCACTCTGGGAGACTGTAGCCAGCAGATCACTTGAGGCCAGGAGTTCCAGACCAGCCTGGCCAACATGGTGAAACCCCGTCTCTACTAAAAATACAAAAATTAGCCAGATGTGATGGTGGGTGCCTGTAATCCCAGCTACTTGGGAGGCTGAGGCAGGAGAATTGCTTAAAACTGGGAGGCAGAGGTTGCAGTGAGCCAGAATCACACCACTGTACTCCAGCCTGGGAGACAGAGCAAGACTCCATCTCAAAAAGAAAAAATAGACCAACTGCGGTGGCTCACGCCTGTAATCCCAGCACTTTGGGAAGTCGAGGTGGGTGGATCATGAGGTAAGGAGATCGAGACCATCTTGGCTAACACAGTGAAACCCTGTCTCTACTAAAAATACAAAAAAATTAGCCGGGCGTGGTGGCAGGCTCCTGTAGTCCCAGCTATTTGGGAGGCTGAGGCAGGAGAATGGCGTGAACCTGGGAGGCGGAGCTTGCAGTGAGCCAAGATCGCGCCACTGCACTCCAACCTGGGCGACAGAGTGAGACTCCGTCTCAAAAAAAAAAGAAAAAAAGAAAAAAAGAAAAAAAATGAATGTGGAACTGAATTTAGAAAGAAAGGACGCAAGAAGGGATGGGACCCCTCACACCTGGGGCCGGAGGGGCTGGCCTCCGATGAAGTTGATTGATTGAAGTTGCAGATCCCCATCCACTTGCAGGTGGGTGACCATCTGTAGGGGAAGCCGGTGCCCGTACTCATAGAAGGGATTTCCATTTACCACCACCTGGAGGGCAGAGATGGGAGGTCAGGAGTCAGCACCCATGATCCTGGGAAGGTACAAACAGGAAGCAAGGGCAGGGCACCCTGGCTCACGCCTCTAATCCCAGCACTTTGGGAGGCTGAGGGGGGTGGATCATTTGAGATCAGGAGTGTGAGACCAGTCTGGCCAACATAGTGAAACCCCATCTCTACTAAAAATACAAAAATTAGCCAGGCATGGTGGCGGGCTCCTGTAATCCCAGATACTCAGGAGGCTGAGGCAGGAGAATCGCCTGAACCCGGGAGGTGGAGGTTGCAGTGAGTGGAGATCACGCTGCTGCACTCCAGCTTGGGTGACAGAGCAAGACTCTGTCTCAAAAAAAAAAAAAAGCAAGGATCAGGGATCTTTTTCATTGGGAGTCGATAGTCTTGGGGATGAGCTGGGACAGCCTCAGCATCAGGAACCTTGGAGTCCACAGCTCAGAGGTCAAGCTAAGGTCAAAAATCAGCTCACTGGCCGGGCGCAGTGGCTCATGCCTGTAATCCCAGCACTTTAGGAAGCCAAGGTGGGGGATCATTTGAGATCAAGAGTTCGAGACCAGCTTGAGAAACATAGCAAGACCCCGTCTTTACAAAAATATACAAAAATTAGCCGGGCGTGGTGGTGTGCACCTAGAGTCCCAGCTACTCCGGAGGCTAATGTGAGAGGATCACCTGAGCCCGGGGAGGTTGAGGCTGTAGTGAGCTGTTTGCATCACTGCACTCCAGCCTGGGCAACAGAGCGAGACCCAGTCTCAAGAGGAAAACAAAAAGTACACGTTTTGCAAAAAACACAAAGTGGTAGGAGGAAATACACATGAAATGTATTACAAGACTCTCAGCAGTAGGGTAATGGGACTAAGGAAAAGCGCTAAAAGAGGATTTTTAAAAATAGGCAGGAAACGGCCGCCCTTCGTCTGGGAGGTGAGGAGCGCCTCTGCCCGGCCGCCCCGTCTGGGAAGTGAGGAGCGCCTCTGCCAGGCCGCCCTGTCTGGGAAGTGTACCCAACAGCTCCGAAGAGACAGCGACCATCAAGAATGGGCCATGATGACGATGGCGGTTTTGTCGAAAAGAAAAGGGGGAAATGTGGGGAAAAGAAAGAGAGATCAGATTGTTACTGTGTCTGTGTAGAAAGAAGTAGACATAGAAGACTCCATTTTGTTCTGTACTAAGAAAAATTCTTCTGCCTTGAGTTGCTGTTAATCTGTAACCTTACCCTGTGTTCCCTGAGACATGTGGTGTGTCAACTCAGGGTTAAATGGATTAAGGGCTGTGCAGGATGTGCTTTGTTAAACAGAGGCTTGAAGGCAGCATGCTCCTTAAGAGTCATCACCACTCCCTAATCTCAAGTACCCAGGGACACAAACACTGTGGAAGGCCGCAGGGCCCTCTGCCTAGGAAAACCAGAGACCTTTGTTCACGTGTTTATCTGCTGACCTTCTCTCCACTATTATCCTATGACCCTGCCACATCCCCCTCTCTGAGAAACACCCAAGAATGATCAATAAATAAAAATAAATAAATAAATAAATAATAAAATAAAATAAAATAGGCAGGAAAGAAGGAAAAGAAAAGAAAGAAGTTGACATAAAAAGTGGGGATGGAAAAAGGAAATAAATGAAGGAGGGAAGGAGAGAGAAGGAAGAAGAGAGGAGGGAAGGGGGAAGGAAGGAGGGGAGGAAAGAGGAGAGAACAGAGAAAGAGGAAGGAAAAAGAGGAAAAAGAAGGAAGGGGCTGGGTGTGGTGGCTCACGCCTGTAATTCCAGCACTTTGGGAGGCCAAGGAGGGCAGAACACCTGAGGTCGGGAGTTCGAGGCCAGCCTGGGCAACATGGTGAAACCCCATCTCTACTCAAAATACAGAAATTAGCTGAGCGTGGTGGCACGCGCCTATAATCCCAGCTACTCGGGAGGCTGAGGCAGGAGAAGCTCTTGAACCCAGCAGGCAGAGGTTGCAGTAAGCTGAGATCATGCCACTGCACTCCAGCCTGGGCAACAGAGTGAAACTCCATCTCAAAAAAAAAAAAAAAAAAAAGAAAGAAAGAAAGAAAAGGAAGGAAGGCGGGAAGGAAGGAAGCAGCCAAGATGGCGCCACTGCACTCCAGCTTGGGAAACAAGAGAGAAAGCATGCAGACCTTGTAGTGCTCAGCCAGGACTATGAAGACCAGCTCAAAGGCGGCACCCTTTTTGAAGGGCATGCTCCTCTTCCTCTCCTCGCTGCCCCACTTCCCGCCCTGCAACGTGTTGAAGACCACCTTGTCCCAGCCGTCAAACCGCGGATTGAAGTGGAAGGCGACGTCTGAGCCCGGATCCTGCCCAACCACAAAGTTCACGAAGAACCTGGCGGGACACAAAGGGCTCATTCCCCTGGTGCCACCTCCCGGGGCCTGGGGGCCTCCTCCAGGAAGCCCTCTCCCTGCCGCCCTGTCCTCGGCCTCCCTGGCCCGGACCTCAGCACCAGCTCTGAGGGGCAACCTTGGCACTGTGGGCCACAGCGTGGAGAGGACCTGAGTTCTGAGGGGGGCAGATTCCCACCACCACACCTTCGCTCACAGCCTTTCCTTCTTTTTTTTTTTTTTTTTTTTTTTGAGATGGAGTCTTGCTCTGTTGCCCAGGCTGGAGTTGGAGTGCCGCGATCTCAGCTCACTGCAACCTCCGCCTCCTGGATTCCAGTGATTCTCCTGCCTCAGCCTCCCAAGTAGCTGGGATTACAGGCGTGCACCACCACGTCCGGCTAATTTTTGTATTTTTAGTAGAGACAGGGTTTCACCATGTTGGCCAGGCTGATCTCAAACTCCTGACCTCAGGTGATCCACCTGCCTCGGCTTCCCAAAGTGCTGGGATTACAGGTGTGAGACACCGTGCCTGACATTTTTTTTCTTGAGACAGGGTCTTGTGTTCTCACCCTGTCCCCCAGGCTGGAGTACAGTGGCCACGATGGTGGCTCACTGCAGCCTCAACCTCCTGGGTCAACTGATTCTCCTGCCTCAGCCTCCCTAGTAGCTGGGACTACAGGTGCATGCCACTATGCCTGGCTTTTTTTTTTTTTTTTTTTTTTTTTTGTAGAGATGGGGTCTCACTATGTTGCCGAGGCTGGTCTCAAACTCCCGGGCTCAAGCAATCCTACCACCTCGGCCTCTCAGAGTGCTGGGATTACAGGTGTGAGTTGCTGTACCCAGCCCACCTTGCCTTCTTAGACCACCTCCTCCACCCTCTTCCCAACTTCCAGTTATGACTGTTACAAGTCTGCCACGGGCCAGGCCCTGTCCTATGCACTTTGGGTCTCCCTGCTCCCCTCCTGGCCCTGAAGATCATTTCCCTCATGCAGCCAGAGGGTCCCTGTGTACACCCATGACGCATCATATTCCGCACCCCTGGGCACACCAGCATCCTTGAAATTACTCCCCAGGACAGGCCTGTCTCAGGGCCTTTGCACTGGCTGTTCCCTCTGCCTGGAAGGCCCTTCCCTCAGCTGTCCCTGGGGATCCCTCTCTCCGTTCCTTCTGTTCTTTGCTGATATGTTCCCTTCCCAGGCAGGCCTTCTCTGGCCACCTTTTTAATTTTTTTGAGACAGTCTCCCTTTGTCACCTAGGCTGGAGTGCAGTGATGCGATCTCAGCTCACTGCAAACTCTGCCTTCAGGATTCAAGTGATTCTCCCACATCAGGCTCTCAAGTAGCTGGGATTACAGGCACCTGTCACCATGCCTGGCTAATTTTGTATTTTCAGCAGAGATGAGATTTCGCCTTTTTTTTTTTTTTTTTTTTTTTTTTGAGATGGAGTCTCGCTCTTTCGCCCAGGCTGGAGTGCAGTGGCGCAATCTTGGCTCACTGCAAGCTCCGCCTCCTGGTTTCACGCCATTCTCCTGCCTCAGCCTCCCGAGTAGCTGGGACTACAGGCACCCGCCACCATGCCCAGCTAATTTTTTGTATTTTTAGTAGAGACGGGGTTTCACTGTGTTAGCCAGGATGGTCTCGATCTCCTGACCTCGTGATCCGCCCGTCTCTGCCTCCCAAAGTGCTGGGATTACAGACGTGAGCCACCACGCCCAGCCAGATGCGATTTTGCCATTTTGGCCAGGCTAGTCTCGAGCTCCTGACCTCAGGTGATCTGCCTGGCTTAGCCACCCAAAGTGCTGGGATTACAGGCGTAAGCCACCATGCCCGGCCAGGCCACCCTATTTAAGGGGACAATTTAAAGGGAACCTCTGTCCGCACATACACTCCCCATCTCCCTTCCCTCCTCATTTTCTTCATAGCACTTAATATCATCTGACATCTTACATATTTGACTTTTTTTTTTTTTTTTTTTGAGACAGAGTCTCACTCTTGTTGCCCAGGCTGTAGTGCAATGGCACGATCTCGGCTCACCGAAACCTCCACTTCCCAGGTTCAAGTGATTCTCCTGCCTCAGCCTCCTGAGTAGCTGGGATTACAGGCATGCGCCACCACGCCCTGGTAATTTTGTATTTTTAGTAGAGACAGGGTTTCTCCATTTTGGTCAGGCTGGTCTTGAACTCCCGATCTCAGGTGATCTGCCTGCCTAGGCCTCCTAAAGTGCTGGGATTACAGGCCTGAGCTACCGCGCCCGGCCTGGACTTATTTTTTATGTTTCCCCTACTAGGACATCAGCTCCACGAGGGCAGGGGTCTCTGTCCTGTTCACTCCTCCATCCCTAGTGCCAGGACACAGAATAGGCACTCAGTGAAGAAGTAAACAATAAATAAATAAACAACAGGCTGGGCAGAGTGGCTCATACCAGTGCCTGATCCTCCCAGCACTTTAGGAGGCCGAGGCTAGAGGATCGCTTGAGCACAGGAGTTCAAGACCAGCCTGGGCAACATAACAAGACTTTGTCTCTACAAAACAAATAATAATAATAAATAAAAATTAAAAATTAAATTAGTTGGGCATGGTGGCACATGTCTGTAGTCCCATCTGCTTGGAAAGATGAGGTAGGAGGATCACTTTAGCCCAGGAGTTGGAGGCCGAAGTGAGCTATAATATTGTGCCACTGCACTCCAGCTTGGGCAACAGAGCAAGACCCTATCTCTAAGGAAAAAAAAAGTCCTATGAGGCCAATCATTATCAACGTGTTAAGGCCCTTTTTAAAAAGCTAAGACTGGGCCAGGCGCAGTGGCTCACGCCTGTAATCCCAGCACTTTGGGAGGCCGAGATGGGAGGATCACTTGAGGTCAGGAGTTCGAGACCAGCCTGACCAACATGGTGAAACCCCATCTCTACTAAAAATACAAAAATTAGCCAGTGTGCTGGCACATGCCTGTAATCCCAGCTACTCAAGAGGCTGAGGCAGGAGAATCGCTTGAACCTGGGAGACAGAGGTTGCAGTGAGCCAAGATCATGCCATTGCACTCCAGCCTGGGCGACAAGAGCAAAACTCCATCTCAAAACAAAAAAAAAAACAAAAAAAACAAAAACAGAAAAGAAAAGAAAATGAAGCACAGAGAGGTATAGTCACTTTCACTCTTTCACCAACACAGAGCTGGGGAGTGGCAGAGCTGGGATTTTAACTCGGGGACCCGGCTCTGAGCCTGTGATCTGAATTCCTGCCATTGCACCCATCAGCTTCAGTCTAATGTCCAACTCAGGGACTGCCTCTCACGGTGAGCCCTCCCTGAACCTTCTGGCCCCCACGTCCCCACTCCTGATCTGCCCCAGATTCATCTCTGGCTATTGGGTGGGGCAGAAAAAGAGTCCCCTCTCCACCAGGGTGGGGTAAGGGCAGAAAGCCCCCAACAGCCAGGCCCAGAGCACCCAGTTGGAAGTCCCCTGCCAGCCCGGCCTGGCTTGGGGAGGGTCTTACCGCTTCATGTGCTCGCTGGCCACTCCTTGGATGTAAACAGACATTCCCACGTTGAGCCCGCCCGGGATGGGCTGGTAGTAAGGCAGCGTCTGGAGAAGAGGCCTGGTGAGGGGACTCACAAGCCATCTGCCTGTTGCAGCCTTTACCCCTCCCAGAAAAGCCCCCCAGTCCCTTAAGCAGGAGAGAGGAAACCATGGGGGAGGACCAGGTTGAAGATGACGAGGGCCAACAGTTAGACGTGGACACAGACAGCCTGAGGTCAGGGTAGGAGTAAATCGAGGGTCGGGGTCAGCTTTGGGTAAATCAGACCACAGAGTCAGATGGGGCCCCCCAGGATCAGAGTGGGGAAAATTGGTGTGAGGGCTTATGGACGGAGCTGCGGGCGGAGTGGGGCCTGAGCTGGCATCTCACCGGGTTGTAGGTGGGCTGGTAGCCCGGTGCGGGGACATAGGCCATCGCTCGAGGCTGCGCTAGTGGCTGGTCCTGTGAGAAGAGCTGCAGGAGTGGGAGATGGTGGCGGATGGCAGGCGGTGGTGGCTCTTATACCCAGGGTAAGGGAGTGGCTGGCAGGGGAGGGTCCACAGGGCTCCTCTTCTGGGACTCTCAGGCTGTCGGCTTCTCCTAGAGCGCACCCTAGTCTCCCTTCCCTTGCCAGCTTCCCTGGTGACCAGCCAGGACCCAAATCACCTGGGTCCCCTCCCCTACGCCCTCCTGCAAAGAGGAAGTGCTCATGAACTTCGGCCCTGCCAGGGCCTTATCAGAGCCCATAAAACCCTGCCCAGACTTCTGTTGGCAGAGGGAGGGTGAGACCAGGCAGGGCAGGGCAGGCTGCAGGAATGACCCAGGACAGGTGGGCAGCGGAGGAGGAGAACGCGGAGGAACTGCAAATTCCTGCCTCTCCCAGCAACTGTGAAGGGACCTACGTTGATTGCGTGCCCACCACACATCTTTACCACGTATGTTGTATTGTAGGGAGAGTGGTTTAGATTACTAGTGTGTGGAGCCAGAGGTTCTAGGTTCAAATCCTGCCTTTGCCACTTCTCAGCTGTATGATCATGGGTCAGTGCCTTACCCTCAATTTGCCCATGTGCTCATCTGTAAAATGGGGATATAGTAGTATCGGCTGGGTGCAGTGGCTCATGCCTGTAATCCCAGCACTTTGACTGGCCGAGGTGGATGGATCACCTGAGGGCAGGAGTTCGAGACCAGCCTGGCAAAATCCCAGTCTCTACTAAAAATACAAAAATTAGCCAGGCATGGTGGTGGGTGCCTATAATCCCATCTACTTGGAGGCTGAGGCAGGAGAATCACTTGAACCTGAGTGGAGGAGAGTGCAGTGAGCCAAGGTCACGCCACTGCACTCCAGCTTGGATGACAGATGGAGACTCTGTTTCAAAAAAAAAAAAAAAAAAAAAGGAATTCATAAGAGAGGAAACAAGTATTGAATAGCTATCAAAATATTTTAAAAATGAATTTGTGATCCAGTAATGCCTGTATGTTATTAATCTGCCAAATAAGTTCTAGCTGTGGGTCCAACTGCCACTCAGAAAAATAAATAAATAAAGAAAAGAGTAGTATCAACCTTAGGCTGGGTGTGGTGGCTTGTGCCTACAATCCCAGCAATTTGGGAAGCTGAAGCAGGAGGACTGCTTGAGCCCAGGAGTTCAAGACCAGCCTGGGCAACATAGTGAGACCCCCATCTCTACAAAAATAAAATAAAAATTAGCTGGGCATGGTAGCACACATCTGTATTCCTAGCTACTCAGAGGCTGAGGCAGGAGGATCGCTTGAACCCAGGAGTTAAGGTTACAGTGAGCTATGATCATGCCACTGCACTCCAGCCTGGGTGACAGACTAAGAGTCCGTCTCTAAAAATAGCAACAATAATAGTCATAATAATAATAATCATAATAGTATCAACTTCATAGAGTCCTTGATCATTAAGATAATAAATGCTCAGAACAGGACATAGCATATAGAAGTCATTAACTTAATGCTTGGTCTCTTGCAGTCATTCCAAACATAAATCCGGAAGATTGGGATGATATATGGATAAAAAATCCCAAAGTTTTGTTTGCTCATTTTTGAGACAGAGTCTTGCTCTATCACCCAGGCTGCAGTGCAGTGGCACCATCTCAGCTCACTGCAACCTCCACCTCCCAGGTTCAAGGGATTCTCCTGCCTCAGCCTTCTGAATAGCTGGGATTACAGGCTTACTCCACGCCTGGCTAATTTTTGTATTTTTAGTAGAGACCAGGTTTTGCCATGTTGGCCAGGCTGGTCTCAAACTCCTGACCTCAAGTGATCCACCTGCCTCAACCTCCCAAAGTGCTGGAATTACAGGCATGAGCCACTGCACCCGGCCAGAAACCCCAAAGTCCTTTTTTGTTTTGTTTTTTCTTTTTTTGAGACAGAGTCTCACTCTGTCACCCAGGCTGGACTGCAGCAGCATGATCTCAGCTCACTGCAAACTCACCTCCTGGGTTCAAGGATTCTCCTGCCTCAGCCTCCCGAGTAGCTGGGACTAGAGGCACCTGCCACCACACCTAGCTAATTTTTGTATTTTTAGTAGAGACTGGGTTTCAACATGTTGACTAGGCTGGTTGCAAACTCCTGAGCTCAGGCAATCCACCTGCGTCAGCCTCCAAAAGTGCTGGGATTACAGGTGTGAGACGCCAGCATCAGATCCCATGTGCTGTGCAGTGAGAGGTGCCAGGCAGGGCACGAACGCCACCCTCAACCCCAGGGCAGGCAGGGAGACCAGGAAGCCTTGCAACCCAGAGGGACCCCAGCGACTTTTGCTCACTCCCTCCGCCCCGGAATTCCTTGTGCCCCTCGCCTGCCCGCTGCCAGTCTGAATGGCCATCACCTCCATGCCACCCATTCCCATGCATCCAACCTCTAGCCCCAGCCTTCAGGACTGCAGTCTCTGGAGCCCCTAGGTGCATCCCAGCCCCTCCCACCTCTCCTCTATCCAAGAAGGGCACCAGGTTCTTTACTTTGCTTTATTGTTTGTGGGGTGAAGATAAGGCCTTGGGCTTGAGAAACTCATTGTCATAAAGTTATAAACTGGGAAACTGGGTCAGAAGGCATAGAAACAACTGTCATCGCCCATCCTCCCTTTCTGTGGATGAGGCGGGACAAGGCCGGCCCCCTGGCTGGGGCCTGGGACGCGAGGGCTCTCAGAGCTTGGAGAAGGTGACGGTTTTCAGTTCCTTGTTCTCAGTCGTGGCCTGGACCGACTTCACGAGGTCTTGGGTCTGCAGCATGCTCATGTTCCAGGACGCCTGGTACCGAGGGTGTTGAGAGAGAACGAGGAGAGAGATTAGCAGGGGCCAATCAGGATAAAGCATGAGAGCACCCTGCACCCTGGTTGGTCGCCTGGGGTTAGAGGAGGGCTGTGATTGGTCGGAGCGTGCACCTTACCACGTAGTTGAGGCTCTCGGCCACCGAATGGTCGCGGGAATACAGCAGGTTGACCTTGGTGCTCTGCACCGCCACGGGGCTCTTGCTGGAAATCTCGGCCGCCAGCGCTAAGGCAGCATCCAGCATGACCTCTTTGTCTGGGAACACCCGGCTGCAGTGAAAGAGATCAGGGACCGGGTGGGCTGGGAAGGGCTCTCTCCTCCAGCCTCCCGCAGATGAAGAAGTGGCCACTCACAGAGGAAGGCCCAAGACCCCAGAGAAACAGCCCAATCAGAGCAGGGGGCTGACCCCACAATAAAGAAATGAGCTCACCAAGAAAGGATGCCACTAGGAATTCTAGAGCGAGGAGACAAGGGGACCCGGAGAGGCCTCCAACCCTCCAGGCCTGGCTGCCCCCAGCACTGAGCTACCACGGCCATGGCCCTACCTGACCAGCCCACTGCCCAGGGCCTCGTCAGCCATCATCTTGCGGGCGGTGAAGGCCAGCTCGTTGACCAGGCTGCAAAGGCAAGCGTGCATCAGGAGGCGGCTGCCACCCCGGGGCTGGGAGATGCTCTGGGGTCTCCTGCCCACACCCCCACACCCCCTGCACCCACCTCTGGTTCCCGATGACCTTGGGCAGGCGCTGCAGTGTTCCTACATCGGCAGCCAAACCCACGTCCACCTCCTGGGGGAGGAATCGGGTCAGTGTTTGGTTTCTGCCCAATACTGTGCCCCTCGCAATGTCAACGTCCATGAAATTTCATGTCTACTGGAGAGTCCCGCCCCACCTTCACCCCAGTGACTTCCTCCAAAGTCCCATTCCATTGCCCAGGCAGCTTCTTGACTCAGGCAAGTTCCTTCAACCTAGAATAGAGCCCACCTTCCCACTCATGCACCCTCCCATTCCCTCAGGGCAGCTCCATCTGTGAGAGAGGAACCCTCCTCACCCTACCTGAGACCCCTTTACTGCATCCCCCGGCTCCATCCTGCCTCCCACCCTCACCAGTATGGCCCCAGGAGCAATCTCTGCCTCTGACACCTGCCAGCCTCAACCCCACCTCATACCTTACCCACTCACAACTTCACCTCTTGACTTCCTCTATGGGCAAGTCTTACTTTGTCGGGTTCAACTCCGACTCTTCCATGAAGCCCTCGAGGCTCACTCCAGGCCCCCCAACCTCACCCCACTGCCCAGCTCTAAGCAGGAGCTCGGGAGGATGACTCACCTTCACCTGGAAGAAAGCATCCTGGGCACAGTACCGGATGTCACAGGCGGTGACAAGGTCCACACCTAGGAGGTAGAGGCCAGGGATGCTGAATGACCACCAGAACCAACCCTGGCTCCCGGGAGGTGGGGCTGCCTCTTGGGACACAGTCTGGCCCATGACAGAGCTGAGGCTGGATGCCAGTGGCCGCGGCATCGGAGCAGCAGCCCCACCTGGGGAGCACCCGAGCAGGAGGATAGCCGCAGACTCACCTCCGCCAATGCAGCCCCCATGGACGGCAGCAATCACGGGCTTGGGGCACTGAGAGGGAACAGGAAGAGTGGGGTCAGGGCTGGCCCAGGGGAGGCGCGTATGGAGAAAGATCCCCTCCAGACCCCTAGAGTCACCCTCTCGATGACGTTGAAGGTCTCCTGGTATCGAGTGATGATGTCACGGAGGTACCAGCTGATCCGGGCCACATCATCTCCTTTGGGCTGCAGGATGTCCGAAGCCATGTCCATCAGGTCAATACCTGGTGAGAAGGCATGATGGAGCTCATCCAGGCTCCCAGGCCCCACCCATTGACTCAACCAGGGATCAGAACCCAGGCACAGCAGGTTCGAACCCCCAAACCACCAAGGCGGAAAAAAAACAACTCACACAGGACTTGGTGAGGGATTGATTGCATGTTGGGTGGGAAGGAAATAAAAGCTAATATTTGTGGAGTCATTACTCACAGAATCCTCACAGCAACCGTACCAGCTAGGTCCTATTACTATTTGTGTTACCAATGGGTAAACTAAGGCACAGAGAGGTTAAGCACTTGCCCAAGGGGGTCACACTGGCTGGTGAGTAGTGAGTAATGAACTATTTAAATTAACTCATTAATGTTTTTAGAGACAGGGTCTCACTCTGTTATACCAGCTAGAGTGCAGTGGCACGATCATGGCTCACTGCAGCCTCGAACTCCCAGGTTCAAGCAATCCTCCCACCTCAGCCTCCTGAGTGGCTGGGACTGTGCCGAGGCTGCTCTTGAACTCCTGGGCTCAAGCGATCCTCCCACCTTGGCATCCCAAAGCACTGGGATTACACGTGTGAGCCACCATGCCGCATCAGAAGTAGGATTTTAAAATCTGGAACCATGCAGCTGGCTCCAGAGGCCATGCTTTTCCCCAAGATGCCAGACAGCCTGGGACTCAAGGTCTGCAGCGTGAGCAATGCAGTCAATGGTGGTGATGTTTCCTGAGATGAGAAACATCTCACGATGCAGCAATTTCTGTGGCTCCAACTTCAAGATGATCCTGAATCTGACCTTTCCTGCATCAGTTGTTCTCCATGAGCCCACCCTGCTCTCCCTGTTTCCACCTGTGTCCCCAGTCTATTCCCTACAGGCAGCCAGGGGAAGCCAGTGGACACCTTCTTGGGTCAGATCCTCTTTTTTTTTATTTTATTTTTTTTATTTCAGACAGAGTCTCGCTCTTGTCGCCCAGGCTGGAGTGCAGTGGCAGGATCTCGGCTCAATGCAACCTCCGCCTCCCGGTTCAAGTGATTCTCCTACCTCAGCCTCCCAAGTAGCTGGGATTACAGGCGCCCACCACCATGCCCGGCTAATTTTTGTATTTTTAGTAGAGACGGGGTTTTGCCATGTTGGCCAGGCTAGTCTCAAACTCCTGACCTTGTGATCCACCCACCTCGGCCTCCCAAAGTGCTGGGATTACAGGCGTGAGCCACCGTGCCCGGCCCAGACCCTCTTTTTCCCACCTGTGGCTCTTAGAACAAAATGGAACGTCCTTGTCATGACTACCCTGCATGAACACTGTTCCCAACCTGTTACTTTGGGCACACTGGCCTCCAACTCTGTGTGTGTGTGTGTGTGTGTGTGTGTGTGTGCACTGTTCCCAACCTGTTACTTTGGGCACACTGGTCTCCAACTCTGTGTGTGTGTGTGTGTGTGTGTGTGTGTGTGCGGGCACGTGCATTTGAGCCCAGGAGTTGGAGGCTGCGGTCAGCTATGATCGCACCACTGCACTCCAGCCTGGGCGACAGAGCAAGACCCTGGCTCAAAAATAAAAAATAAAAAGAAAAGAAAATGGCAGGACAGAGAGGTGAAAAGACAAGTGGAAATAGGATCCAGATCACTGCCTGAGGGCTGTGCAGTGGTACAGAATCTTCTCATTGAGAAGGTGACCTTGAGTAAAGACCCAGAGGAGAGGGAGGGAGCCAAGGACCTTTGGGCTGACAACCATCCCTCCCTCTTCAACAGCCACAGACTGACTCCTTCACTTCCTTCAGCTATAGCTCAAAGGTCACCTCCTAGAGAGGCCCTCCCTGGCCAACCTGGCTCAACGATGGCCCCATCCCCCGCATCCTGACCCCGCCTTACCTCCGGGCTGCACAGCTGCTATCCTATAATTAGGTCCTTATCTGCTTGAGGGTCTGACTCCCTTTCTAGAATGTGAGCTCTGAGAACACAGGAGTTTTTGTCTTTCTGTCCACTGCTGCATCCCCTGGGCCTAGCACAGGGCCTGGCGCACACGAGCTGCTCAATAAATGATCAATACAGACAACAGTCCCTGTCCTCATGGGGAGGCAAACAAATGAATAAAAAAGTATATTTTGGGGCTGGGCGTAGTGGCTCACACCTGCAATCCCAGCACTTTGGAAGGCAGAGGCAGGAGGATGGCTTGAGGCTAAGATTTTGAGAACAGCCTGGGCAACATTGCAAGACCTCTTCTCTACAAACAATGAAAAAATTAGCTGCACATGAGGCTGGGCATGGTCACCTGTAATCCCAGCACTTTCGGAGGCTGAGGTGGGCGGATCGTTTGAGCCCAGGAGTTGCAGGCTGCGGTCAGCTATGATCGCGCCACTGCACTCCAGCCTGGGCGACAGAGCAAGACCCTGGCTCAAAAATAAAAAATAAAAAGAAAAGAAAATGGCAGGACAGAGAGGTGAAAAGACAAGTGGAAATAGGATCCAGATCACAGCCTGAGGCCAAAGTCCCCCTTACTTTTTTTTTTTTTTTTTTTTTTTTTGAGATGTAGTCTCACTCTATCGCCCAGGCTGGCGTGTAGTGGCGCGATCTCGGCTCACTGCAAGCTCCGCCTCCTGGGTTCACGCCATTCTCCTGCCTCAGCCTCCCTAGTAGCTGGGACTACAGGCGCCTGCCACCATGCCCGGCTAATTTTTTACATTTTTAGTAGAGACGGGGTTTCACTGTGTTAGCCAGGATAGTCTCCATTTCCTGACCTCGTGATCCGCCTGCCTCAGCCTCCCAAAGTGCTGGGATTACAGGTGTGAGCCACGGCGCCCGGCAATCCCCCTTACTTTTAACCAGCATGCCAGCTACTCAGATGACAGACATTTAGCAGCTAAGAGCAAGGACTCTATAGCCAGGCAGCATGAGTTCCAAAATCCCAGCTCTGCCACTTACAAGCTGTGATTATTGGGTAAGTTTCTTGCTCTCTGGATCTGTTTCACCTTTAAATGGGGCTTATAGCAGAACCTGTCTTGTGGACTGTGATTAGAATTAATATGTTTAACGTGCTTAGAAAGGGGCGTCACACACCATGAGTGCTACATAATTGTGGCCACCTTTTTCTTTCTCTAATTAGTAGTTCTACTCTATCACTGGGTCACTGCATGACCTGCCGTTTCTTCCTTCTGGCCTTCGGGGTCTTGCTGCTGAAAATAAGATAAGACGGCCACATTCAGCTGGGAGCTGAAAGATGAAGGACCTGGGCCCGGCACAGCCACAAAAAAGCCCCATTTTTCTGTTCTCAGACATGATCTCTATGAGAGCAAGGGGTCAGGAATCGGGGCTGCTTCCCGTTTCCACATCTGCAGCACCCAGGAGGGGGCTCTGGCACTGGACTGTGTCACTGAATGTTTGTCAAATGAATGAACAAATGAACAAGAGGAGGAACAGAGGGAGATGCAGAAAGAAAGCAGGAGGCTGGGTGCGGTGGCTCATGCCTGTGATCCCAGCACTTTGGGAGGCTGAGGCAGGAGGATCGCTTTAGATCAGGGGTTCGAGACCAGCCTGGGCAACATAGCAAGCCCTGCCTCTACAAAAAGTGAAAAAACTTGCTGTGCATGGTGGTGCACACCTGTGGTCCCAGCTACTTGAGGGGCTGAAGTGGGAGGATGAGGGGAGGTGGTAGGGGCTGAGGTGGGAGGGGTTGAGCTCAGGAGGTGGAGGCTGCAGTGAGCTGAGATTGCTCCACTGCATTCCAGCCTGGGTGACAGAGGGAGACCCTGTCTCAAAAATGAAAGAAAGAGAGAGAGAAGGAAGTGAGAGGTGACAGCATGCTGGCAGCCCTTGCTCGCTGGCCTCAGAGCCCACTCTGGCCATGCTTGAGGAGCCCTTCAGCCTGCTGCTGCACTATGGGAGCCCCTCTCTGGGCTGGCCAAGATCGGAGCCGGCTCCCTCTGCTTGCAGGGAGGTGTGGAGGGAGAGGCGCGGGCGGGAACCCAGGCTGCACGCAGTGCTCTCCGGCCAGCGCAAGTTCCGGGTGGGTGTGAGCTCGGCGACCCCGCACTCGGAGTGGTGGGCCGGCGCCACCTGCCCTGAGCAGTGAGGGGCTTAGCACCTGGGCCAGCAGCTGCGGAGGGTACACCGGGTCCCCCAGCAGTGCCGGCCCGCTGGTGCTGCACTCGAATACTTGCCGGGCCTCAGCTGCCTCCCTGTGGGGCAGGGCTTGGGACCTGCAGCCTGCCATGCCCGAGCCTCCCCCCGCCGCCGTGGGCTCCTGCACAGCCCGAGCCTCCCCGAGGAGCGCCACCCCCTGCTCGGCGGCGCCTGGTCCCATCAACTGCCCAAGGGCTGAGGAGTGCTCCGCCTGCGGCCCTGGTGCAGGATCCACTGGGTGAAGCCAGCTGAGCTCCTGAGTCTAGTGGGGATTTGGAGAACATTTATGTCTAGCTGAGGGACTGTAAATGCACCAATCAGCACTCTGTATCTAGCTAATCTGGTGGGGACTTGGAGAACGTTTATGTCTAGCTAAGGGATTGTAAATACACCAATCAGCACTCTGTTTCTAGCTCAAGGTTTGTAAATGCACCAATCAGCACCCTGTGTCTAGCTCAAGGTTTGTAAATGCACCAATCAATGCTCTGTGTCTAGCTCATCTGGTGGGGACTTGGAGAAACTTTATGTCTAGCTAAGGGATTGTAAACAACCAATCAGCACTCTGTGTCTAGCTCAAGGTTTGTAAATGCACCAATCAGCACCCTGTGTCTAGCTCAAGGTTTGTAAATGCACCAATCAGCACTCTGTATCTAGCTAATCTGGTGGGGACTTGGAGACTCTTTATGTCTAGCTAAGGGATTGTAAACAACCAATCAGCACTCTGTGTCTAGCTCAAGGTTTGTAAATGCACCAATCAGCACCCTATGTCTAGCTCAAGGTTTGTAAATGCACCAATCAGCACTCTGTATCTAGCTAATCTGGTGGGGACTTGGAGAATCTTTATGTCTAGCTAAGGGATTGTAAATACACCAATCAGCACTGTGTGTCTAGCTCAAGGTTTGTAAATACACCAATCAGCACCCTGTGTCTAGCTCAAGGTTTGTAAATGCACCAATCAGTGCTCTGTGTCTAGCTAATCTAGTGGGGACTTGGAGAAGTTTTGTGTCTAGCTCAGGGATTGTAAACGCACCAGTCAGCACCCTGTCAAAATGGACCAATCAGCTCTCTGTAAAACAGACCAATCAGCTCTCTGTAAAACGGACCAACCAGCAGGATGTGGGTGGGGACAGATAAGGGAATAAAAGCAGGCTGTCCGAGCCAGCAGTGGCAACCCACTCACGTCCCCTTCCATGCTATGGAAGCTCTGTTCTTTTGCTCTTTGCAATAAATCTTGCTGCTGCTCACTCTTTGGGTCCACACTGCCTTTATGAGCCATAACACTCACCGCGAAGGTCTGCAACTTCTCTCCAGAGGCCAGCAAGACCACGAACCCACTGGGAGGAATGAACAACTCCGGACGGGAGGAACGAACCACTCTGGACGCACCGCCTTAAGAGCTATAACACTCACTGCGAAGGTCTGCAGCTTCATTCCTGAAGCCAGCGAGACCACGAACCCACCAGAAGGAAGAAACTCTGAACACACCCAAACATCAGAAGGAACAAACTCCGAACACATCAGAAGGAACAAACTGCGGACATGCCGCCTTTAAGAACTGTAACACTCACCACGAGATTCTGCGGCTTCATTCTTGAAGTCAGTGAGACCAAGAACCCACCAATTCCGGATACATTTTGGTGACCCAGATGGGACTATTACCTATCGCCAAGCGGTGAGACCACTGCCTATCGCTGAGCGGTGAGACTATCACCTATCGCCAAGCAGTGAGTACCACTGGACCCCTTTCACTTGCTATTCTGTCCTATTTTTCCTTAGAATTTGGGGGCTAAATACCAGGCACCTGTCTGCCAGTTAAAAGTGACTAGCATGGCCGCTGGACTAAAGACATGGGTGTCAGGCTTTCTGGGAAAGGGCTCTCTAACAACTCCCGACTCTTTGGAGTTGGGAGCGTTGGTTTGCCTAGAACCAGCTTCTGCTTTTCCTGTACTTCTGGGCTGAGCCGAGGGTCGACAGAGAGGAAAGCCATGCAGCTCTAGGGTCCCGACAAGACAACAAGTTCGTTGACCCTGCAGCCATGAGCGGAACACTCAAAGGCATGTCGCCCAAGCGAGACTCGCCCATCTATCCTATCTATCCTGACTCTTGCCCCCGGGTCCTAATGCCTGCCAGACAAACTTCCTCTCACCTCTCTTCTCCGAGTTTAGTCCTGCTTCTAAAATTTGCTGTCTCTGGTGCTTTTCTAGTTTCTCCTATAAGAACGACTTCTAGAACTCTGTTACATTCTTTAGGCACCCAGGCTCACCAATCAGAAAGACATAATTTTTGCCCAAAGCCCTGTCATAGTGGCGACTACCTGGAATTTTACGATCCCTCCTCAGACTAACAGGCCTAACAAAGGTATTCCTGAAGCTAGGATATGGGGAGCCTCAGAAATTGTAGCTTTCCTATTCATATAAGTGAGGACAAAAGGTGTCACTCTTCCAACCCTGGAGATCCCTTCCCTCCCTCAGGGTATGGCCCTCCACTTCATTTTTGGGGCATAACATCTTTATAGGACAGGGGTAAAGTCCCAATACTAACAGGAGAATGCTTAGAACTCTAACAGGTTTTCAAGAATGCGTCGGTAAGGGCCACTAAATCCGACCTTCCTTGGTCCTCCATGTGGTCTGAGAGGAAAACTAGTGTTTCTGCTGCTGCGTTGATGAGCACAACTATTCCGATCAGCAGGGTACAGGGACTGTTGCAGTTTCTTGGGCAGGGGGAGAAACAAAACAAACCAAAACCGCGGGTGGTTTTGTCTTTCAGATGGGAAACATTCAGCCATCAACAGGCTCACCCTTGAAATGCATCCTAAGCCGTTGGGACCAATTTGACCCATAAACCCTGAAAAAGAGGAGGCTCATTTTTTTTCTGCACTATGGCCTGGCCCCAGTATTCTCTCTCTGATGGGGAAAAATGGCCACCTGAGGGAAGTACAAATTACAATACTATCCTGCAGCTTGACCTTTTCTGTAAGAGGGAAGGCAAATGGAGTGAAATACCTTATGTCCAAGCTTTCTTTTCATGGAGGGAGAATACACAACTATGCAAAGCTTACAATTTACATCCCACAGGAGGACCTCTCAGCTTACCACCATATCCTAGCCTCCCTATAGCTCCCATTCCTATTAATGATAATCTTCCTCTAATCTCCCCTGCCCAGAAGGAAATATGCAAAGAAATCTCCAAAGGACCACAAAACCCTCCTGGCTATTGGTTATGTCCCCTTCAAGCTGTAGGGGGAGGGGAATTTGGTCCCACCCGGGTACATGTCCCCTTCTCCATCTCTGATTTAAAGCAGATCAAGGCAGACCTGGGGAAGTTTTCAGATGATCCTGATAGGTACATACATGCCCTACAGGGTCTAGGGCAAACTTTCGACCTCGCTTGGAGAGATGTCATGCTACTGTTAGATCAAACCCTGGCCTTTAATGAAAAGAATGCAGCTTTAGCTGCAGCCTGAGAGTTTGGAGATACCTGGAATCTTAATCAAGTAAATGATAGAATGACACCTGAAGAAAGGGACAAATTCCCTATCGGTCAGCAAGCCATCCCCAGTATGGATCCCCACTGGGACCTTGACTTAGATCATGGGGACTGGAGTCGTAAACATCTGTTGACCTGTGTTCTAGAAGGACTAAGGAGAATTAGAAAAAGCCCATGAATTATTCAATGATGTCCACCATAACTCAGGGAAAGGAAGAAAATCCTTCTGCCTTCCTCGAGCAGCTATAGGAGGCCTTAAGAAAATATACTCCCCGGTCACCCGAATCACTCAAGGGTCAATTGATTCTAAAAGATAAGTTTATTATCCAATCAGCCGCAGATATCAGGAGAAAGCTCCAAAAGCAAGCCCTGGGCCCTGAACAAAATTTGGAGGCATTATCAAAACCTGGCAACCTCAGTGTTCTATAATAGGGACCAAGAGGAACAGGCCCAAAAGGAAAAGTGAGATTGGAGAAAGGCCGCAGCCTTAGTTATGGCCCTCAGACTAACAAACCTTAGTGGTTCAGAGAGGACAGATAGTAGAGGCCAATCACCCGGTAGGGCTTGTTATCATGCGGTTTACTAGGACACTTTAAAAAAGATTGTCCAATGAGAAACAAGCTGCCCCCTCGTCCATGTCCACTATGCCGAGGCAATCACTGGAAGGTGCACTGCCCCAGCGGACGAAGGTTCCCTAGGTCAGAAGCCCCCAACCAGATGATCCAACAACAGGACAGAGGGTGCCCGGGGCAAGCGCCAGCTCATGTCATCACCCTCACTGAGCCCCGGGTACGTTTAACCATTGAGGGCCAGGAAACTGACTTCCTCCTGGACACTGGCGCGGCCTTCTCAGTGTTAATCTCCTGTCCTGGACGACTGTCCTCAAGGTCTGTTACCATCCGATGAATCCTGGGACAGCCTGTAACCAGGTATTTCTCCCACCTCTCAGTTGTAATTGGGAGACTTTGCTCTTTTCACATGCCTTTCTTATTATGCCTGAAAGTTCCACACCCTTATTAGGCAGGGACATATTAGCCAAGGCTGGAGCTATTATCTACATCAATATGGGGAACAAGTTACCCATTTGTTGTCCCCCTACTTGTGGAGGGAATCAACCCTGAAGTCTGGGCATTGGAAGGACAATTTGGAAGGGCAAAAAATGCCCGCCCATTACAAATCAGGTTAAAAGATCCCACTGCTTTTCCTTATCAAAGGCAATATCCCTTAAAGCCTGAAGCTCATAAACGATTACAGAATATTGTTAAACATTTAAAAGCTCCAGGCTTAGTAAGGAAATGCAGCAGTCCCTACAACACCCCAATTCTAGGAGTACAAAAACTAAATGGTCAGTGGAGACTAGTGCAAGATCTTAGACTCATCAATGAGGCAGTAATTTCTCTATATCCAGCTGTAACCAACACCTATACCCTGCTCTCTCAAATAACAGAGGCAGCAGAATGGTTCACAGTTCTAGACCTCAAGGATGCCTTCTTCTGTATTCCCCTACACTCTGACTCCCAGTTTCTCTTTGCCTTTGAGGATCCCACAGACCACACGTCCCAAATTATGTGGACGGTCTTGCCCCAAGGGTTTAGGGATAGGCCTCATCTGTTTGGTCAGGCACTGGCCCAAGATCTAGGCCACTTCTCAAGTCCAGGCACTCTGGTCCTTCAATATATGGATGATTTACTTTTGGCTCCCAGTTCAGAAGCCTCGAGCCAGCAGGCTACTCTAGATCTCTTGAACTTTCTCGCTAATCAAGGGTACAAGGTGTCTAGGTCAAAGGCCCAGCTTTGCCTACAGCAGGTCAAATATCTAGGCCTAATCTTAGCCAGAGGGACCAGGGCCCTCAGCAAGGATGGAGAGGGAGGACAGGGAGGAGAGGGAGAAGGAGGGGAAGGAGGGGAAGGAGGAAGGGAGGAGAGGGAGGGAGGGGAAGGAGGAAGGGAGGAGAGGGAGGGAGGGGAGGGAGAAAGGGGAGGGAAAGAAAGAAAGGGACCTGGGAATATGTTAATGGACAAAACAGAAAGAAATAGTTTACTGTCTGTCTTCCCCACTGAGTTGGGAACGCCATGACAACAGGGCCTGGGACTGTCCTAGTCAAGACTGGGTTCCCAGCACCAGGCTCTGGGCCCTGTGCAGAAATCAGTGTATGAAATATTTTGCTTCTGGTTCAGTCCTAAAGGGCCAACCCTCCCACGGACAACTACATACGCTGGCTGGACAAGAAACAAACAATTATCTGAAGGCACTGGGCAGATTCTGGAGGGAGTGACCACTTAGGAGAGTGGCAGAACACTCTCTCGGTGTTTTTGAAAATGGTTTTGAAAACTTTCAGCCTGAGGGCAGACTGAAATTGTGCTTGAAGAGCCACAGGATAGAGTCCAAGGTGACCAAAGCTGCCGGGAAGTGAGGGGGGATATTCCAAAGAGGGGAGAGCCAGAGCGAGGAGTCCCGAATTCTGTGTATCAACTCTGCCCTAATCTCTTGCTGGGAGATGTATGTTTTTGTTGTTGTTTTTGTTTTGAGATGGGTTCTTGCACTGTCACCCAGGCTGGGTGCAGTGGCACGACCACAGCTCACTGCAGTTTTGACCTCCCTGGTTCGAGCCATCCTCCCACCTCAGCCTCCAGAGTAGCTGGGAGTGTGGTCATTCATCACACCCAGCTAATTTTTGTTAGAGACAAGGTCTCAGTGTGTTGCCCTGGCTGAAGATTAGTTTTTAAATCTTTTGCTGGGGGTGCATGTATGGTCTGTAAATCAGCAAGAAGCCAGGCACAGTGGTTCACGCTTGTAGTCCCAGCACATTGGGAGGCCGAGTCAGGAGGATCGCTTGAGTTCAAGAGTTGAAGACCAGACTGGGCAACATAGCAAGACCTCATCTCTACAAAAAAATAAAAATAAAAACAGAAAAACCAAAAAAACTAATTCCAACTAAGCTACCAAAACACGAAACTCAACACTCTTTGGAACTATATGATAGAATCCAGAGTATCCACATCTTATTCCTATATCCCAATATCCAAGAAACAATCCAAACTAACTCAAAATACAAAGAAACAGGAAAGTGAAGCCGTTTTCTTTTTTTTGAGACAGAGTCTCGCTCTTGTCACCAAGGCTGGAGTGCAATGGCGTGATGTAGGCTCACTGCAACCTCTGCCTCCTGGGTTCAAGCGATTCTCCTGCCTCAGGCTCTCCAGCAGCTGGGATTACAGGCATGCACCACCACGCCGGGAAAATTTTTGTATTTTTAGTACAGACGGGGTTTCACCATGTTGGCCAGGCTAGTCTTGAACTCCTGACCTCAAGTGATCCACCCACCTCAGCTTCCCAAAGTGCTGGGATTACAGGCATGAGCCACTGAGCCCAGCCTGCCATTTCCAAGCGAAAAGATGATAAGGAGACTGACCCCAAGATGACCCAGATGTTGAGATTAGAAGATAAGGAGTTTTTGTTTTGTTTTTATTTTGTTTTTAGAGGGAGTCTCGCTATGTCACCCAGGCTGGAGTGCAGTGGCGCCATCTCGGCTCACTGCAACCTCTGCCTCCCAGGTTCACGCCATTCTCCTGCCTCAGCCTCCCGAGTAGCTGGGACTAAAGGTGCCCGCCACCATGCCTGGCTAATATTCTTTTTTTTTATTTTTAGTAGAGATGGGGTTTCACCATGTTAGCCAGGATGGTCTCGATCTCCTGACCTCGTGATCCGCCTGCCTCGACCTCCCAAAGTGCTGGGATTACAGGCGTGAGCCACCACACCTGGCCAGAAGACAAGGATTTTAAATCAGTCATTATAACTATGCTCAATGGCAGGAAGAAAAACATGCATGACAAAAAATATACAACTGACCAGGCACAGTGGCTCACGCCTGTAATCCCAGCACTTTGGGAGGCCGAGGGGGGCCGATCACTGGAGGCCAGGAGTTCAAGACCCGCCTGGCCAAAATGGTGAGACCCCGTCTCTACTAAAAATATAAAAATTAGCCAGGCGTGGTGCCGGGTGCCTGTAATCACAAGTACTCAGGAGGCTCAGGCAGGAGAATGGCTTGAATCTGGGAGGTGGAGGTTGCAGTGAGCCCAGACTGCACCACTGTACTCCAGCCTGGTCAACAGAGTGAGACTCCTTCTCCAAAAAAAAAAAAAAAAAAAAAAAAAATTAGCTAGGCCTGGTGGCGGGCATCTGTAATCCCAGCTATGCAGGAGGCTGAGGCAGGAGAATTGCTTCAACCCAGGAGGCAGATGTTGCAATGAGCCAAAATTGCATCACTATACTCCAGCCTGGGTGACAAAGCGAGACTCTGTCTCAAAATAAATGAATAAATAAAATAAAATAAAATATGAACCAAATGGAAATTGGAGAATTGAAAACTACAATATCTGGGCTGGGCGTGGTAGCTCACGCCTGTAATCTCAGCACTTTTGGAGGCCGAGGCGGGCAGATCACGAGGTCAGGAGATCGAGACCATCCTGGCTAACACGGTGAAACCCCGTTTCTACTAAAAACACAAAAACTTAGCTGGGTGTGGTGGCAGGCACTGGTGGTCCCAGTACTCGGGAGGCTGAGGCAGAAGAATGGCCTGAACCCGGGAGGCAGAGCTTGCAGCGAGCCGAGATCGCACCACTGCACTCCAGCCTGGGTGACAGAGCGACTCTGTCTCAGAAAAAAAAAAAAAAGAAAGAAAACTACAATATCTGAAATTTAAAATCAGTGGGTAGTAGCTGGGCACGGTGGCTCACGCCTATCATCCTAGCACTTTGGGAGGCCCTAGGTGGGTGGATGACCTGAGGTCAGGAGTTTAAGACCAGCCTGGCCAACATGGTAAAACTCCGTCTCTACTAGAAACACAAAAAATTAGCCGGGCGTGGTGGCGGGCACTTGTAACCCCAGCTACTTGGGTGGCTGTGGCAGGAGAATCACTTGAACCCAGGAAGCAGAGGTTGCAGTGAGTTGAGATTGCACCATTGCAACAAAAGCAAAACTCCGTCTGAAACAAAATAAAACAAAATAAATCACTGGATGGGCTTTACAGAAGGATAGAGATGACTAAACAGTTAGTAACTGTGACCAGTGGAAATTCTCCAATCTGAAGAAAAGGTCAGTGGGTCAATCCAAAGATCCAACTGACCTGTAACTGGAAATCAATTAGTGAGTTGAATAGTTGCACGAAAGCATGTTATTATATTATATGCTGACACAGCTATAGGCTGAGAGGTTAAGCATGTTGTTCATGGCCACAGATCCAGGATGGAAACCTAGACTTCAGAGCCTATGATCCCATCGTGTTCTGTCAGACTAATACTTATATTTGAATGTTTTAAAGTAGGCCTTTTTTTAAAAAAATGATAGGGCTGGCCATGGTGGCACCTGCCTGTAATCCCAGCATTTTGGCAGGCTGAGGTGGGAGAATCGCTTGACCTCAGGTATTTGAGGTTACAGTGATTTATGATTAGGCAACTGTACTCCAGCCTGGGTGACAGAGAAAGATATTGTCTCCAAAAAAAAAAAAAAAAACACACAGATAAAAGTGTGAGTTAGGGGCCAGGAGCAATGGTTCAGGCCTATAATCCCAGCACTTTGGGAGGCTGAGGCAGGCAGATCATAACGTCAGGAGATGGAGACCATCCTGGCCAATATGGTGAAACCCCGTCTCTACTAAAAATACAAAAATTAGCTGGGTGTGGTGGCCCACGCCTGTAGTCCCAGACAGAAGAATTGCTTGAACCCGGGAGGTGGAGGTTGCAGTGAGCTGAGATTGCGCTACTGCACTCCAGCGTGGCAACAGAGCAAGACCCCGTCTCAAAAAAAAAAAAAAAAAGTGTGTAAGTCAGAAGCTGCTTAAAACCCTAATTCAGAAGCACTGCTCCACTGTCTATTGCCAGGAGCTAGGAAGGCTGGCAGGGTGTGTGAAGAGCGTCTGGTACCTGCAGTGAACATTTTTCCTGCACCAGAGATCACCACCGCCCGACAGTCAGCGTCTCTCGAAATCTTGTTGAAGCACTCTACCATCTCTCTGTGAAGCAACGAGTGAAGGGTTACAAATGGGGCGGGAATACCCTGCCCTCATGTCCATCTTCCCACAACGTTCCACTTTCACCCAGTCCCGCAGCCCCGCCTCCCCCCGCAGGCAGGCCTCCAGGATCTGCAGGTCAGACCTCCAGAAGACCTTGTTCATGGCATTCCTCTTGTTGGGCCGGTTGAGCTGGACATGCAGAACATGTTTCTGCGCAGACGTCACACGAAGGGACTCATAGCTGTGGTCTGGGGCTTCACCGAGGGCTACTCCGGAAGCCTCCTCTTGTGCAGAGGAGCCAGTGAGGCGAAGGCTAATACTGAGTCCCGGGTAGTTGGAGCCTGTCAGTCCTGGGGAGAAAGGAACAGCCTTTGATGACCCCAGACTGCAAGACACAGGCCTATCGAATTAGGGAGTCCTTCAAAAGGGAGCACACGCACCCCTGAATTTAGGGGACTCGGGCCCTTCGTGACCCCGGATAGCCCTCCCCGTCCTACATCTGCTATAACAGCACGACAGCGCGACGCACCCCCATAAGGCAAGAGGTGACTCACGCCGGGTCAGTAGGTCGCGGAGTCTGCGAGAAGCCACTATCCCCGCCGCCATCGCCGCCGCCTTCGTCTACTGCGTTCGGACGGAGTAACGTGCCCGTTAGCGGAGGGGGCGGGCACAGAAGGCCGCCATGTTGAGCGAGGGCACCGATGCCGCAACCTGACAGGCAATGACGCCGTTCTTTCCGCCATCTTTACTAAGGGCAGTCGATTTCCGGTTGCCTTACATAGAGCCAGGCTCAGAAATGGACCCTTTGCCCCAGTGGGAACCTGGCCAAAGAAAATAGCTCCTGCAATGGCGTGAACCTGGGAGGCGGAGTTTGCAGTGAGCCGAGATCGCGCCATTGCTCTCCAGCCTGGCGACCGAGCGACACTCCGTCTTAAAAAAAACAAAACAAACAAACAAAAAAAAAAACAGAAAAGCAAACAGCTCCCGCTAAAGTTCATCACACAGCTGTTTCATAATGGTGGAATAATAGGCGACAGCTGAAATGTCCAAGGACATAATTGCAGCAGAGCTTGTAATCATGCATGTATATATCATGTTAACTAAAAATAAAAGAAAACTTGCAGTACTGTGAGTTTACTCAGGTAAAGGAATGAGTACAGACGGGCCAACATTAAGCGCTGACTGTATAATATGAACTCCCACCAGGAGGTCGTACTATTTCCTACTATATGCAGAGGAAACTGGCCCAGGCACGGGAAGACACTAGGTTCAAGGTCGGTGGGCTTCAGAAGGGCTAAAGCAGGATTACCTGGCACCAGAGTTCATGTTCTTAGCCTGGCGCAGTGGCTCACGCCTGTAATACAAGCACTTTGGGAGGCCGAGGCAGGCGGATCACCTGAGGTCAGGAGTTCAACAGCAGCCTGGTCAACATGGCGAAACCCCGTCTCTACTAAAAATACAAAAATTAGCCGGGTGCGGTGTCCGGCACCTGTAATCCTAGCGGGAAGAGAATGGCTTGAGCCCAGGAGGCGGAGGTTGCAATGAGCAGAGATGGCACCACTGTACCCCAGCCTGGGCGACAGAGCAAGATCTCAAAAAAAAAAAAAAGAAGAAAAAAAAGTTCATGTTCTTAAAAAAAACAAACAAAACAAAAAAACCGAAATTCCCTTGGGAAAAGCCAGCTACCAAAAGGCATAAAAAGTACTGTAAAACTGCTGGCCGGGCGCGGTGGCTCACGCCTGTAATCCCAGCACTTTGGGAGGCCGTGGCGGGCAGATCACGAGGTCAGGAGATCGACCTCCTGACCTAGCTAACACAGTGAAACCCCGTCCCTACTAAAAAAATACAAAAACTTAGCGGGCATGGTGGCGGGCGTCTGTAGCCCCAGCTACTGGGGAGGCTGAGGCTGGAGAATGGCGTGAACCCCGGAGGCGGAGCTCGCAGGGAGCCGAGATGGCGCCACTGCACTCCAGCCTGGGGACAGAGCGAAACTCCATCTCAAAAAAATAAAAAAAAAAAGTACTGTAAAACTGCTTAAGTATGCTTTTTGGGGAGACATTGAGCAAGGCGGTGAACAGATGTCTCTGGGCCAGTGAGATTGAAGGAAGTATCTTTCCTTAATGAACCTGTCTCCTGTGTGTTTTCACAGACTAGAAAAGCAGGCTCTTTTGAAAGACAGAACCATTAACTACCCATCAACAGTAGACTGTTTATACCATAGAAAACTCTGAAACCTCTATGCAAAAATAAAAATGTGTGAGAAAAAAATGTGAAGATGTAATAGAACATTTAGTATGATCCTTTGTTCCTTTGGTGTAAGAAAGTATAGCTGGGCTGGGTGCGGTGGCTCAGGTCTGTAATCCCAGCACTTTAGGAGGCCCAGGCAGGCAGATCACCTCAGGTCAGGAGTTTGAGACCAGCATGGCCAACATGGTGAAACCCAATCTCTATTAAAAATATAAAAATTAGCCAGGCGTGTTGGCTCATGCCTCTAATCCCAGCACTTTGGGAGGCCAAGGCGGGTGGATCACAAGGTGAGAAGATCGAGACCATCCTGGCTAACACGGTGAAACCCCATCTCTACTAAAAATACCAAAAATTAGCCGGGCGTGGTGGCGGGCGCCTGTAGTCCCAGCTATTCGGGAGGCTGAGGCAGGAGAATGGCGTGAACCCAGGAGGCGGAGCTTGCACTGATGTGAGATCACGCCACTGCACTCCAGCCTGGGCCACAGAGCAAGACTCTGTCTAAAAAAAAAAAAAAATTAGCGGGGCGTGGTGGCAGGTGCCTGTAATCCCAGCTACTTGGGAGGCTGAGGCAGGAGAATTGCTTCAACCCAGGAGGCAGAGTTTGCAGTGAGCTGACCTCATGCCACTGCACTCCAGCACTTCAGCCTGGGTGACAGAGTGAGACAATGTCTCAAAAAAAAGAGTGTAGCTGGACCTGCACAGAATATGGTGTATGTATGTAATATCTCTGGAAGGAGACTCAAACTGGTAACAGGAAATGAAATTGGATGCTAGGAGACAAACTGGTAAAATTCACTTTTTATCACCTTGACTGGCTTAAAAACAATAAACCCTAGTTGATTTTATTTATGGCTGCAAGATGACTGTAGTTTTTCCTTGTCTAAAGATTGTTTGAAACTTCCCATAGTGAAGCAAAACTTGTTCATCTGCCAAATGATGCTTTTGTGATGTCATTAAATGTTAAAAATGTAAGGCCGGGCGCAGTGGCTCATGCCTGTATCATAGCTACTTTGGGAGGCCGAGGCCAGTGGATCTCAGGAGTTCGAGACCAGCCTAGCCAATATGGTGAAACCCCATCTCTACTAAAAATACAAAAATCAGCCAGGCATGGTGGCACATGCCTGTAATCCCAGCTACTTGGGAGGCTGAGGCAGGAGAATTGCTTGAACCAGGAGGCAGAGGTTGCAGTGAGCCAAGATTATGCCATTGCACTCCAGCCTGGGTGACAGAGCAAGACTCCATCTCAAAAAAGAAAATTTTATTCACAGTAAATTCCCCAGAGTGGGCTATTCTCAAGCACACATGCATAAACTTCAAGGTTTGTGACCTGCTCCTCTGCAGGTCACCTCTTCCCTCCAGTAGGAGTCAAAATCCTTAAACCAGGATCCTTCCGGGTGGTACCCGCCACCGCAAGGCATCTTCACAGATTTGCATCTGCAAGTGGGAAGCTATCTACCGTATGATGCAATTATATAGATCCTTTAAGTTTTGAGACATGGTCTCGCCCTTTCGCCCAGGATGGAGTATAGTGGTGCCATCACAGCTCACAGCTCAAGTGATCCTCCTGCTTCAGCCCCCATGAGTAGCTGGGACTATAGGCACAGTGTGTGCCACCATGCCCACATCATTTTTCTATATATTTTTTTCTCGAGACGGAGTTTCACTCTCGTCACTCAGGCTGGAGTGCAATGGCACAATCTCGGCTCACTGCAACCTCTGCCTCCTGGGTTCCAGCGATTCTCCTGCCTCAGCCTCCTGAGTAGCTGTGACTACAGGAACGTGCCACCATGCCCGGCTAATTTTTATTTTTTTAGTAGAGACAGGGTTTCACCATGTTGGCCAGGCTGGTCTCGAACTCCTGACCGTAAGTGTTCCGCTCACCTCGGCCTCCCAAAGTGCTGGGATTACAGGCGTGAGCCACCATGCCCGGCCCACTTTCTTATTTTTTGTAGACAGGGTTTTGCCATGTTGCCCAGGTCTCAAAACTCCCGGCCTTAAGTGATCTGCCTGCCTTGGCTTCCCAAAGTGCTGGGATTACAGGCATGGGCCACTACATCCAGCTATATATATCCTTTAACCCAGCAATTCCACTGGCAGGAATTTATCTCCTGATCAGTATCAGGGAAGCTGGCCAAGATACTTGTGTAGATACGTGTTACAGCGCTGTTTGCAATAGCAAAAATAGACCTGGAAACTACCCTTTGGGACCAGGTTAAATCATGACACATCCACACAATGATACTGCAAGGGTAAAGACAAGTCACTCTGAAATGATACAGAACACAAAGGTTTTGGGTTTTTTTGACACCCTGTTGCCCAGGCTGGGGTGCAATGACCCCATCACAGTTCACTGCAGCATCACCCTCCAGGGTTGGGGTGATCCACCTCAGCCTGCTAGGTAGCTGGGACTACTGGCATGCGCCACTATGCCCGGCTGATTTTTGTATTTTTAGTAGAGACAGGGTTTCACCATGATGGCAAGGCTGGAAACCTTTTTTTTTTTGAGATAGGGTCTCATTGTCACCCAGGTTGGAGTGCAGTGATGTGATCACTGCACTGTTAACCTCCTAGGCTCAACTGACCCACCTGCCTCAGCCTCCCGAGTAGCTGGGACTACAGGTGTTCCACCAAACCCACCTTTTTGTAGTGACGTTTCACCATGCTGCCCAGGCTGGTCTTCAACTCCTGAGCTCAAAGTATGTGCCCCACCTTGGCCTCCCCAGATTGCTGGAATTATAGGTGTGATGACCCACTGGGCCTGATAGAGCTTGCTCGGGCAGGGCCCAGTAAGAATGCCACTAAGCCTGATGGATTTTCCTCAAAGACTCAATTGCTAGCACCATTCTCAGTCTGCAGCCCACCCTGCTCCTCTTGGGTCTCTGTATGCCTCCAGAGGGCCTGTGACTGTGCTCAGGCCTGCCTGTGTCTTCAGGACAGAGAGGGAGAAAAGCAGACATCCTGGAATCCCAGCAAGTGCTGTGTTTATTTTCCAAACAATTTTATTGAAATGTGCCAAGAGTACATGGGCAGCACAAATGTATGAACAGGAAAAAAAAAAATCACATGTACAATAATTTTTTAAAAGTGAAGGTTAATCTTGGGAGATAACAGTTCCCCTCTCCCTCCCCCTGCAGATTTCCAGCGTTTCCATTAAGGTTAAGTAAGCCTCTACAAACCTAGCATTTAAAAAAAAAAAAAAAAAAAAAAAAAAGGAATACAAGATCTTTTGCAAATAACAAAAACAAAAAATGGCATAAAGGAAAGAGAAATGTCTTCCTGCTCAGATGGGACTCTTCCTAGGCACCTAATTAGGAGGCGTGCTGAGCAGTGGAGAAACACAACTTCAGAGTGTAAGGGTATGGACCATCTGCAAAGGAGAGACAAGTTTGGTTGGTTCCCGTCTTTGGAGGCTCCCCAAACCCAGGTCCCCTCAAGTTTGTACCCATCTCCCATTTTCTGCAGGTCAACGGCAGGGGTCTAAGGAGTGACTGCCCAACGTGAGGCTTCAAGATGAGCCAATTACCAATTATGCACGGCGTTTCTCCTTCTCTTCCTTCATTCCCATAGAGAATCCCATTCCTATCTCCTTCGCCAGCCCAAGGCAATGGGCCTCTCCCAGCAACTGGGTGGGCAAGTTTTACCTGCTGGATAGTGTTGCCTCTTTCCTAGGTAACAGAGTGGCTTTCCTACCTAAGCCAGTCTCTGATGCAAAGAAGAGAATGCCACCTCCCTGGAGGACAAGCCTGAGCAACTCCCAAGCTGGCAGAGTGAGTGGCAGCAGGCAGTCAGGCTGGCTCTCCCAAGAGGAGCACAGGCTGCTCTCCTGATGAGCAGGTCCCACCTGCCTGTGTCACCAACAGTGCGAAGATCCCGGGGTCCTATCTCAAGGGCAGGAAGGACATCCCTGGCCTGAAGCCAGCCAACCCATTAGGTCACCAGGTTGATGCCTGCAGGACACACAGATACTCACTTGGGTTTTTCATCTGGTAATGGTTCAGGAAGCCCAGAGTCTCCAGGGCATCGCTCTTGGATTCCCACTCCAGCAGTCCAGAGGAGCTGCGCTCACCTGATTGCAAACCAAGGGGAAAAGTAAAGGTTTTAGACTCACCCAATAGGAACTAGGCAGCTGCCCACCAACCACCATGCAATTAGGGCAAGGAGGTGGGCACACTCGACTCACTTTTGCCTGAGAATACTTTCACAGAAGATGGCCGCTTCACTCCCAGCTCATCGCAGATCTGCAAAAGAAAACAGGTAGTAAATGAACTCTGAAACAAAAGGGCCGCCACACAGGATTCAAGCAGACCAGGCCCTGCATGACTCAGTACTTGAAGTTTTCAGGAGAAAAGGCTTGTAGATTTTATCACATACCCTAAGGCATCCCTGTGTCATAAAAAGGCCAGCAACAATGCTCTTTAATTATTAAGTTGCCTGAGACTGGGAAGCTGCTTTTTCGTTCCCAACTTCAACAGCTATGTGGATATCTGCACCCGGCTGTTTGCTGAACACTGTTTGCTGAATGCAAGGTCAACATTTCAGACCACAGCCAGATCCACTTGAGTTCCTCCTCCCTTCCGCTGCCTCAGTTCCCCCTGACTGAGCTTTACAGGGCCCCACCTTCTGATGGTATCAGGGTGATGGCACCCGAAGCCTACGCCAATGCGGTTCTTGTGAAATTGGGCCCTCATCACTGGGCCTGTGAAGCAGCTTTCCCAGCAAACGAGCAGTTGCCCTGCTTGCCAAAAATGTAAAAGGAAGGAACGCGGCAAATGGTGTTGCTAGAAACTTGGTGCCATTCTCACCCTGTCCAGTTTGAGAGCACAGATTCCTATCTGTCCTGGCCTCTGCTGTGTCCCTAGCACTCAACCCAGGGCCAGGCAGGACAGGAGTTCAACAGCTATTTGCAGAAAAGACTGAAATGAATGGCCTACTCAGACGGCCGTGGCAAGGACCCGACTGCCTGCGCAGCTCCACGGCACACACCTCAAAGAAGTTCTCCTCGGTCACCTCCAGCGGGGCGTTGAAGAAGTGCAGCACGTTGCTGGGGTGCTGGATGCGGTTCTTGGCTGCCTGCTCTGGGGTGGAGAACCGATTGTTCCGGGATTCACTGAAGTCTTTGTAACTGCAAGACCCGTCTTCCAACCCGTATGACTGACCAGGCATGATGGCTGGCTGCTTGGAGACACTGCAGCAAGGAAGAAAGGGGAGCCTTTGTCATACCCAAAGTTGTCCCTGAAGCTTTCCCCTGTGGCCTCCAGAGGCTTAGCTTGCCCTGTGTGCCTTGGGGCATTGCTCTACACCTGAGGCAAGGCTGACTCACTTTCTCCTGTGGTGTCAGAGACACGTCTGGGAACACACCTGCCACATCCCATTTCTGTGTGAGTCAACACCTCGGCCTCACTGTGCTCCTCTGCTGGGCCCCATTCCCCTCCTTTTCTCTCCCCTGTACCTCTGCTGCCCTCCCGAGCCTGAGCACCTACCAGACATTCAGCTTCTGCCCAAACATGAAGTTGTTGTTGAGGTGGGTAATGGCCCGGTCTACAGCGTAGCCATCAGCCATCTCCACCATGGCGGCCCCCGGCTTGCTTTTCATGAATTTCACCTTGGGGAGAGTAGCTGCAGTCAGCACCTCTGTCCAGCTGCCAGGGTCCCCTCTCCTGCCCCTCCCAAGTTAGTGATAATAACCCCTGCTCTGGCCTCCCATGTCCTCACAGTTAATCGGGACCACTAGAAAAACATGCCTGGCCCACACCAAGTGCTCAACCCATAGTGAGAAGCAGAGCCTGGGCCATGTTTTTAACTGTGGGACATAACCCACCAGTAAATCATTTAGTGAAGCATGACAGAAAACTGTACAGGAATCAGAAATCAAATCAGCCATTTTCACCATTTTGTCTGTTACACACAGACGTGTGTGATCTATGGATGGCTGTGTCTACAGTCACAAGGTAAAATACTCCTTCAGCTGGGTTACAACAGAGCAGTGCCGGCTCTGGAGCCAGGCAGTCTGGCTCTGAGTCCTGCTTCACATAAAGGCTATGTGAACCTGGGCGCGTTATTTAAGCCCCGTCCTCCACTTCCCCTGTCCATCTCATTAAGGATTAATGTGAGAAATTACACAGGTCACTACATGTAAAGCATCTTTAACAGTGCCTGGTAACTAACAACACTTCACCTGTGTTACGAACTACTCTAAGTAATGGGCCAAGTCATGAGCTGCACAAAGGCCCCCAAGACCCAGACGGGTTTAATGTTAAGCAAAATGCCGCCTGGTCTCAGGTAGACACTCAGCCACCGCTAGCCCCAGTCAACTGTCCCATGGGAAGGCAGAAGGCCCGGTGTTGCCAGGTCTTAAGTTTTCAGGAGGAAATCCTTAAACGATGGTGTTTCACTATAATGGATTCATTTTTATGTTTTATAAATCTCTATGTTCATGTACTGGTATTAGTACTTTTATGTGATAAAATCTTTTTTTTAAACATTGGTAATTCAAAAACACAACACCCACATACAGTGAGGACCAAACAAAACCCGTCTGCAAGCAGGCTGCCTGAGCTCACTGAGTCACTCATTGGCGTCTGCCCGCCCAGCGCCACACCAGGCTCCCCCCTGGTTCTTTCCCGTGCTGACTGGCAAGATACGAGGCTCAGCGAGGAACCCAGGGGGCCCGGCAGCAGCTCACCTTCTCCACATTGCCATATAAGCAGAAGACATTGAAGACTCGGTCACAGTTCATCTTAGATTGATCCAAGCCATAGACCATGAGCACAGGGCTGTCGGCGTGAGGGCCATACTCGGGTGGTGGGGGAGGGGGTGGGGGGTGCCCATACTGGGGGCCGTAGCGACTTGGGCCCCGACGGTGACCCCCCACTGGTGGACCCATCCTTCTCCCTTCGTAGTGAGGTGGGGGGGGCCCGTAGCCCTCATCATGGTAATGGCTGTGGTACCCACCGTGGGGCCCTCCTGGGGGGTGGGAAGGAAAGAGAGGGAGGACGGGTGAGAATTTGCACGGCGGGCGGCGGGCAGGGGCACATGAGCCACGGGAGTCCACGGAGGGGAACCCCCTGCCCTCACCATATTCTGCGGGGTGATCTCCCAGGAGAGGGGGCTGCCTCTGGCGTTTGTTGGGGTTGCTGCCAGGGTCACCTGTGGAGAGAGAAAACAGTTAGGAGTCTCACTCAGAAATTGGGGTCTCTCCCTCCCTCCTGACTGCACAGGCTGATCTGAGCCCCCAGCTCCTGCCAACTGCAAGCCCTCCCTTCCTCGAGGGCTGTGGGGCCTCCTTTTGTGATCTGACCTACGGCGGGCATGAAGCCCGAGCCTCAAAGCTGGTGCCCACTCTCCTTCCCCTGCTCATACCAAAGGGCTGGCCTTGTTCTGTGAAGGACAAGGCCAGATTCTGTGCTCTCACCTACCCTGGCCCTGGGAGAAAGCCCAGCTCCCAGGCCCTCTGGGGAATGTGCAGCTGCTACAGAAGCTGATATATTATGGCGGGCCAAAAGCAGCTTTCTAAAGTGACTCCCAATGAAGGGAGAGTAGATTAAGAGGAAAATAACCCCAGAGGGAAGCAAGCAAGTTTGACCCCCAAAGCCCCCAAAGTTCTAGGAGCTCCAGACTGTCTCTGTTAGATCCCTTCTTTCTTAATCCCAGTCCCCCCTCCCTCCCAGTCCCGCCAGCCCAAGAGGGACTGACTGTAGCTGACAAGCAGGGCAACAGCAGAATCAGTTCAAATAAGCAATCATGTACAAGGCATCGACATTCCCACACCCAGCAATGGCGCAGATCCACCCCGACCCCAGCAGTTCGTAATCACTGCCTTTAACTTAGCGCTTAAGTGGCAGGCACTGGGCTAAGCGCTTTACAGACATCACAGCTTCTGAAATTCCTCACAACAACCCTATGAGGTAGGTTCTGATATTTCAGCCCCATTTTACAGATAAGAAGACTGAGTTGTTAACTTTTAACTGAGCAGTTAAAAGACACTTTGGCCCAAAGTCACAAAGCAAGACAGTGGCTGAGCCATATTTGAACCCAGGTCTGGCTGACTCCAAAACCCAGGGCTCGAAACCACTGCCCTTTCCTGCCACCCGGCCTGGGTTTTGTTACCAGTCATTACAAAATGGAAAAGGACTACTTACAGCAGAAGTACAGAGTACAATGTCCATTTGTCACAAAAAACAAATCTGTATTTTCTCTTACCATTGGACGCTTCAACAGTGAGTTAGCACAGTTCTGAAAGATGGCGTCCCATCAAACATACACTGCGACCCTGCATCACATGGTTTTACAGTCATAAATACAAGTCACGGTACACATCCGCTACAATTTTTTTAAAGAATTGTTTTAAAAGTCAATATTTTGATTAAATCAAAAATGGCTCACAGATGTTCTGTCCTCAGAAGATATCAGAAAAGTGGAAATAAAGGTGTATGAAGTGGGTAGTGTCCCTCCATGTTGTCACCTCCTCACATATGTGCTGCAGTGCGGTGGTGCGGTGCTTCTGGCTGTGTAGCGCTCCGTGTGCGTGTCTCCTGGTATGAGGTGTGCCAGTGGCCCCACTACGCTCGCGCTTTTGGCCTTGGGAGCGCGCCTGGTTACCCGGCAGCAGGTAACTGTGTGCCTCTGAGCTGTTTGGCTGTCTGGTTTTAGGTCTGTTTTGGTTTTTTTGATTTTTTTTTTGTTGTGGTTAAAATTTTTTTTTTTTTTTTTGGTTTCTGATCTCCAGTTGGTGCAGATTATGTTGGCAGCCGGTGACTGCAGAAAAAATAAAAATATCAAAACAGAAAAAAAACAAGGCCCTCCCCAAACCAAATGACTTAAAAAACAAAACCCATATGGCGAGGAATGGAGAGAGGATCCTATTGTCTTGGAGGCCCATGGAATCTACTTCCGTCTATGAAACGTTCTCCGAAAAGAGCATCGCTCGCTGGCTGGCTGGGACAGCTCTGTTCTCTGTGTTTCCTACTTCTGTGTACATTCTCGGGTTCAAGTTTGCTTGGATTTTGACCTTTTTTTTAATGTTTAATAAAAAAAGCAGTGTCTGCTGCCATGTTGCGTCTCTTTCTCTCTTTGTCTCTGTATGCCTCTGTCTCTGTGCTTGTAGCTGTTCCTTGGAGCGCGGTGTGGTGTTCTTGATGTAGTGAGCTCAAGTCTGCGGCTGTTTCTGGGGACGTGGTGGAGGCTGCATGTTCTGTTCTCTCCAGGAAGAGCTAGTGGTTTTCTACCCTGTGTGTTGGTGAGCAATGTGCAGAGGCAGAGCCGCTGAAGTATGGTTCCTGAGGGGTGGCGAAGCACCGCCCTCACTCCAGGTCACCTCATCAGCCCTCGTTTTTTTTTGGGCCCCAGCCTTGGGGCTGCCAAAGCTGAGAGGCATCAAAACCAATGCACAGCCAGCCCCCTGCCACTAGCCCCTGCCGGTCTGCACATCTTCTATTTATGTTCCTTGGAGAAGAAATGGTTGTTGCCATGTTTCTGTTAGCAGTCATGTAATGCCATTGCCCGCTCTGGTACATTCACTTGGTCACCAATTTGCCTCTGACCTTTGGAGGGAGCAGCCAGGCCCACAGGGCCCACTGTGAGGATCCTGGGGAAGAGTCTAGCCCACCCTGCCCACTGCTTCCCAGATGCAAGGGCGAGCAAGACAGGCCTGCCTAGGAATGGGGGGCTCTGGCCTCTCAGGGCCTGTGCGATGTCAGCATCGAGCCTCCTCCCTCAGCCCATGGCCTGGTCCGACGTATCAGACCAAGACAGACACCGAGATGGATGGTCTTGTTGGGGGGCTGCCGCTGTTTCTCATAGGCAATCCTCCACCTCTCCCTGCTACCAAAGGCAAACCATTCTTGACAGACACTAGGAAGGGAGTTGTCCATTTGGGCCACCTGCAGAGATGTTGCGTCCCCTCTACAAATGATGTGAGGCATGTCCGCCCTGGTCCAATCCAGAGTGTCTCACCTCCACAGGGTCAGCTTGCTCACAAGGCTCACTGCAAGAGCCCAGGAGACCTCATCGCCCCCCAACACTGTCACTCCCCCAAATCAGACCCTCTCAACAGCGCAGAACAAGAGGACAATTCCTGGTCCAGCAAGAATGGAGTGAGTGACCCTCACCAGACTCTCAAAGGAGCCACTGCTGGTTTCTAAGGCCGCCCCCACGCCTCATCCTCAGTGAGGCCCTGCTCCCCGCCCATCCAGGCTTCTGCCTTGCCTCTGTATCCTGAGCAGCATCGGAGGGCCCCAAGCAGCAGTGAAGACCCATGGAGGCCTCTCACTCCCCCATCCCACTAGGGTGTCCAAGTGCTGACCCCAAGGCCCTCCCATGTCCATGGGGGGCCCAATGGCATTACATAACCCTGAGCCCAGGCCTATTAAGTGCACTAGTCGAGTGAAAGCAAGGCGGGTATGTTTAGAACAAAGTGGTCGTCAAGATTACCTTGTCCACTGAGATTGGGGTTTGTGTAGTCCCAAGTATCCTGATCATTCTTGAACACATTCAAGCGTGTAGGCTGCAAGGACAGGACAAGACAAGACTTGAGGTCAGCCATGCCCCAGCTCACCTGGAAGCTGACAAGGGGCAGTCAGTCACCTCCCAGATGTACCTTTGCGTATTCGATCTTCAGAGTGCAACAGCCAGAATAGATATCAGCCCCATTGAGAGAGGCCTTGGCCCGCTGGGCACTTTGAACTGAGTCAAATGTGAGTCAAGTTAAGGAAAGTCCCATCACAGGAGATCTTTGAGAAGGGCTTCAAGTTACCCCAGAGTGTGATAAGGACAAGGTAGCACCCCAAGACTGTGGTACAGACGGAAGCTTTGGGATTAGCTCACTGCCCAGCCACTAGCCTCAGGTTAAGAGACCAAAACGGTGTTGATGGACTCAACGCTGCCCCGGGTGAGCAGTCACTGGCCAGAGTTCTCTCATAATCTGCACCCCGACCCATGGCCACCAGCAACCTCTTCTGCCACACCACTTTCTCCGTCTCAGCCCTCTCACACCCTTCGACTAAATCTGAAACATCAACTCGATTACAGCTCTGCCCTGAAAGTCCATCAGTGGCTTTTTCCTGCCCCTGCCCCAAGCATCGCAACGCTGTCTAGGATGCCCTAAAAGCTTCTTCCAATGTCTATTCCAAACCCGTCTGCTTGCCAGCCACTTTGCAATCCTCAGGTCTTTCAATTTCTCCATCCAACACAAGCTCCTTCTGACTTTACAACCTTTGCAGAGGCTGTTTCCTCCACCTTGAGTATAAGCTCCTATTTGCTCATAGGACATCACCTCCTCAGCAACCTTCACACATGCCCCACCTTTTTTTTTTTTTTTTGGATATGGAGTCTCGCTGTGTTGCCCAGGATGGAATACAGTGGCACAGTCTCGGCTCACTGCAATCTCCGCCTCCCAGGCTCAAGCGATTCTCCTGCCTCAGCCTCCAGAGTAGCTGGGATTACAGGCGTTCACCACCATGCCTGGCTATTTTTTGTATTATTAGCGACAGGGTTTCACCACGTTGGCTAGGCTGGTCTCGAACTCCTGACCTCAGGTATCTGTCCACCTCGGCCTCCGAAAGTGCTGGGATTGCAGGCATGAGCCACTGTGCCCGGCCCCATATCCCCTTTTAAATAAATTCCTTTTCCCAGGGGCACATTTTCTCAGGACCTCTTGAGACTATGTTCCCCAAATCTTTGTCACTCATATTTGAACTTAGAATAAACATCTTTAAAAATAAATTCCTAGCCAGGCGCGGTGGCTCACACCTGTAATCTGGGAGGCTGAGGCAAGTGGATTGCCTGAGGTCAGGAGTTCGAAACCAGATCTCTACTAAAAATAAAAAAAATTAGCAGGCGCCTATAATCCTACTAGGAAGGCTGAGGCAGGAGAATTGCTTGAACCCAGGAGGCAGAGGTTGCAGTGAGCTGAGATCGCACCACTGCACTCCAGCCCAGGCAACAAGGGCTAAACTCCATCTCAATAAATAAATAAGTAAATAACAGAAAGAAAACAAAAAGAAAAATAAATTCCTTTGTATCTCCCAACACACTGCTCTCTCCCCTAAGATCTGCACGTCCACACGATATGCCTGGTCCTTTAACTGCCTCCCTACTCAGTCACTGGGCTCTGTGAAGGCATCTGGCACATGGCAGCCACTCCCGTGGTCAGCAGACACATGCTGGCTCAAAGAATGGCCACTGTCAAGCCCTGCAAGAGTCCCTACCCTAAGGAACACCTGTTTTCCAGCAAAGGATATTCCACCATCGCCTGAACTCCATTCTTCCTGAAAATGACAATTCTCTGGACAGGGCCACAAGGATTACAGATAGTGTAAAGAACATCCTGCAAAAGCAAACACAGGCAAGATGAAGGGGCACTGGCAGATCAGTCTGGCTTGGGGGAGGGAATAAGGGGAGAAAAGGAAGGGAGACCTCACAAGAAATGCCTGCTGGCACGTACCGTGGTGATCGAATAAATGGGGTTCAGGATGGTAAAGAGAAGCACACTGTTCACGCTCCGGGAGTCATCCGAGTCCCCAGGGCGGGAGATCTTCTGGCTGGTAGAGTAGTTGACAAAAGCTGGGTGACCAGCAATGTATATTTGGTTGTCGGCTGCGTAGTTCACTGCGTTGCAAGCCCCCAACACATCTTCAAACTCCACCAGTGCTTGTCTCTTTTTAGGCATTACCACCACATAGCTGGCAGAGAGAACACAGGTTTCAATCCTCTCAGGAAAATGTAGACAGGAGGAGGGTATCATTTGATTTTTTGAGAACTGACTCCTCCATGGCCTCTGAACTCCTCTGCAACCCTATCATGGTTCCCCGACCTGAACACCCTGTGCCACAAGTAGTACCAAAAGCCAAAGAGGTCTAGCTGAGCCATCATGTCCCTCTGGGAAGCCTTCCTGACCTCTCCTCACCAGACTGTCAGATGCCACCCACAGACGGCTTCTTGAGCTTACACTATGACAGTGCAAATCACTCTAGGAGGGCAACTTTCTAAGAGAAGCATCCAGATACAGCTCACTACTGTATTTGCAGTATATAGCATGCACCAAATATTCAGTAACTACTTGCTGAATGAAAGAACACTGGCCAGGAGCAGTAGTAGCTCATGCCTGTAACCCTAAAACTTGGGAGGGCTAGGTGGGCAGACTGCTTGGGCCTAGGAGTTTGAGACCAGCCTGGCCAACATGGCAAAACCTCACCTCTACAGAACAATATAAAAATTAGGCCGGGCGCAGTGGCTCACGCCTGTAATCCTAGCACTTTGGGAGGCCGAGGCGGGCAGATCACGAGGTCAGGAGATTGAGACCATCCTGGCTAACACAGCGAAACCCCATCTCTACTAAAAATACAAAAAATTAGCCGGGTGGGGTGGCCAGCGCCTGTGGTCCCAGCTACTCGGGAGGCTGAGGCAGGAGAATGGCGTGAACCCACGAGACAAAGCTTGCAGTGAGCTGAGATTGTCACTGCACTCCAGCCTGGGCGACAGAGCAAGAGACTGTCTCAAAACAAACAAACAAACAAAAAATATATATATGTAAAAATTAGCCGGGCATGGTGGCGCATGCCTATAGTCCCAGCTACTCAGCAGGCCGAGGCAGAAGGACTGCCTGAGCCTGGGTGAGACTGCACCACTACACTCCAGCCTGGGCCACAAAGCGAGACCTTGCTCTGTCTGAAAAAGAGAACACTGACTAGAAACTACAAGGCAGAGGAAAAACGAAGGAAGGAAAAAGGGTCATGGAACTTGCTGTAATCTGACACAAAGTACAATGGCCAACCCAAAAGCAGAGCGGCCACAGAATCTAGACCAGGATGGCAACAAAATCACTATTTCCAACCAGAAATCGTGGACACACAAGGACACCCAGGAGTCAACTTTGGAAGCCCAACACCTGGCCTCTGAGCCCAGTACCTGATGGGTCCAAACTCCTGCAAGGCCTCCACAAGGTCTGCTTCCACCACACCGTCAATCAGGCCCCTGATGTGGACAACTGGGGAGGCAGGGGTTTTGTGCGGGTCATCGTAGTTCTCCTGAGAAAGGAAGCAAAAACAAGAATTATTTTCTTGCTGTACAAGATGACGCCCCACTGGCCTCTGTACTGTTGTAGACCCAGTCAGATAAAACAGTTGGAGGTCATCCGTGAAGGATGCACAGGAAAGACTAGGGGCAGCAATTGAAGCCAATCAGCCCAGAAGGATTCTGGGTCAGCAGAACAGTGGTCCTGAGTGGGTGATCACTTGCCCACTGGCTCTTGCTGTAGCTTCTGAGGAAGGTATAACGGAGGGAGGGCCACACAAGTCCCAAATCTTACGTTCTTCCAGGGACCCCCCTCTCTTCCCACTGGTCCACTCGACCAAGGAAACATGGGAAAAGAGTAGCTGGAAAAGGAGATACACTGGCAGCAAGGGCTCTAACAGCTATCTGCTACAGTTTGAATGAGGACATCCCCTTTGCATGTGCCCCAAATTCCTTGCCCTTTAACTGGCTGAGCCACCATCATCTAGCTAAGCACACCTGTTCCCCACCACTCACACCCAGGTTCAGTCAGGGCAAAAAACAACACATGCCCCAGAAACTGGGGCAGCCAGGCCAGTCTTGACCCCTTCTAGTCTTGAATCGCCCTCCCACCAAAATCTGCTTTGGAAATTACTGCCTAGGTCAGACTAAGAAAAACCAGACAAGAAAAGTCTTTTATTTATTTTTTGAGATGGAGTCTCACTCTGTCACCCAGGCTGGAGTGCTATGGCGTGATCTTAGTCCACTGCAACCTCCGCCTCCCAGGTTCAAGCGATTCTCCTGCCTCAGCCTCCCGAGTAGCTGGAATTACAGGCCCTCGCCACCACACCTGGCTAATTTTTTTGTATTTTTAGTAGAGACGGAGTTTTGCCATGTTGACCAGGCTGTTCTCGAACTCCTGACCTCAGGTAATCTGCCTGCCTCAGCCTCCCAAAGTGCTGGGATTATAGGCATGAGCCCCCACTCCCGGATGGAAAGTCTTTTAGAAAGACCAGAGACTCCAACCCATACCATTAAGAACCGACTGCTCCTTCCTAAGAGAAGTATCTTACACCCACCGACAAAAGCCTCTGGTCATCAGGAGAAAGATTAACTCTCTTCCGCCTCTCCTGGGCTCTGGGGCCGGCCCCCTGTCTGAGAATCACTGGGCAGAAGTGCGTGGAAGGTGGGTAGAATTGGATTCTATTTCAGGAGCGATCCACGCGAACCACAGGGTGAGGCACTCCCGCCAGGTTAGCAGCTCCCACAAATGGGAGTTCTAACTCCAGCCCTGCCCCTCACTAGCTGTGCCACCTACAGTAATTCACCTCATCTCATCTCTCTCCTGGCCCATTTCCTCCTTTGTAAATCGGGAATCCCAGTATCTCCCCCAACCTCAGGAAGCGTTAAGGATTTTCAATTAAGATGTCTTTAAAATGTGTGGGACAAGGCCAAGATTAAAACGCTAGCAACTCGTAACCCCTAAACCCTGGAAAACCCTGCAAATAGGCGGCCCTGTAAGACTTCAAGATTTTGGAAAGAGTGGGGACTGGGCCCCACTCCAAAAGCAACGACTGGTGTTTTCGGAGGGACTGATTACAGGGGGTCGAAATGCTTCCAACATGGCCAGGAAATAGTTTGGTTTATCAAATCCTCGGTACCCAGTGAATCCCCGGAAACTGTAAGCAAACTTGTGATGGTTTCAAGGCTTCGCTCAACTCCTAAAAGGCTAAAAGTGCATTTCACAAGTCCTCTTCCCATTTTCAATGCCTACAAAAATGAGAGCATCTAGGCTCAAACACATCCATTTCTGTATAGACACAAGGCTGGGCCTTAGAGATTAAGCTGCCATCAGACGGAATTCCCCACTCTAGAGAACAAGGCCGCCGCCCACCCGTTCCCGCTCACCAGGCGCTCCCCTAACCGCCCACGAGGCCGGGCGGGAACACTGCGCCTGCGCATGGAGCCAGCGAAGAAAATGATAAAGGGGAAAAAAACCGGCCGGGCCGCGTGCCCGGCCCCCACACGCCAGCCCGCGGCGCCTGCGCACTGGGCCATTCGCCTCACGAGCTACTTCCTCTGCGCTCCCCCACACCCCGCTCCGGACCCCGCGCACGCGCAGGCGCCTGTCCTCGCGCAAACCCCGCCGTTTGCCCAACGGCCGCCCCTCCCCCACACCGTCAACGACGCGATGGCCTGGGCGCGTGCGCAGAGGCCCCCCTCAAAAAATAAAATGCCCTCAAGCTGGGAAATTGTCCCCCAGTTCCCGGCCTTCCCAGCGCCTAGGGCCCTGGCCTCACCCCACCGCCGCCGCCGCCCGCCGCCCCGGCTCCTCCACCGCCACCGCCGCCGCCTCCGTGCTGGTCGCCGGCGTTGTCAGTCTTGAGCCGCTTAGGGGCCCGGCCGCCCTCACTGCCGCCGCCGTAGTAGCGGCCACCGCCGCCTCCGCCGCCCGCCGCCGCCATCTTCACCATCGCTCCCGACCGCCTCCGCTGCTCGTCCGGCTGCTGCCTCTGCTCCAGCCGCCGACGCCGCTTCTCCGCCCGGGGCAGCAGCCTCCGCGACATGGCGGCGCAGAACCCGCCTCCCCCCGCCTCTCATTGGGGGAGGGACACGCCCGTCACCCGCCGCCCCCACCCGATAGGGGGAGCCACTGGTCCCGCCGCGGGGGGAGGGTAGGCCGCCACACGCCTTGCGCGCTTATTGGACATTGCCCACGCCGTTCTGCAGGAGGGCCCGCCCTTGTTTGTCTGAGACACTCCTTATAGGTGGTCGCTTTCTGCCAGTCTTTCCGTCGACCCCGCCGCCTTAAAATAAAATCCAATTTGATAGGTCGGATTTCTGGCGCTGCTGGCCTCCCTAAAAGCACCTGATAGGAACGGCGCTCTAAACCTCCCAAGAATCTCCGCCTCCCTCCCACTTTCATTGGTCTCCTCGCTAATCCGTCAGCACCAGTCACAATGACGACCTTCCCGCGCCACTTCGCAAGGAGACAAGGAAGCCCCGCCCTTTTTTGGTCTCTCTCCAGTGGTGGTTACAGATGCCCATTCTTCTGCGTCTCCACTGATTGGTCAATGGAGAGTGGAGCGCACCCTCTCACCAGATGGTAGGACTGTTGATACGCTCTGATTGGATGAAATGGGGAGCCCCGCCCCAGGGTAGGCGCTCTTTGGTGCAGTATACGAAACGAGCGAAGGCGAGAACGCATGCGCAAATACGCTTTCAGGCACCGCCCAGAGGCGGGGCCCCCTTATGGAGCGACCGCTGTGTGTGCGCCGGAAGGCTAGACCAAGATTGACAGGAACTCCCAGGGTATCTCTGTCGCCATCACTATACCGTGTTCATTTCTACCTCTAGGAGGAATTGTTAAAATCCCAAATCTGAGCCTTTTCCTCAGTAGAAAACCACTCGCTGCTGCCGACTGTCTTCGGACCCTGTCCAGTTCTAAATTCAGCCGCAACCCCTTTCAGTTTCCCTTGGGAGAAGGCTCTTCCGCGCACTCTCCATGTGTGCCCATGCAGTCCCTTCCACCTGCAATAGTCCACTACCCCTCCTGCAGGAGCTAAGGGCCAAGTCATCTTGTCCGTGCGATCTAAATTAACAGGTCCCTGCCATCCCAGACCCCCAGGATTCCCTTCAAAGCCATAACTCGGGCCAGTGGTTTTCACCTGACAGCTCGACCCCTCTGAGCACCACAGGAGGTCCTGGCCCCGACCCTGGAGAGGGTGGCCACCTACCAAGCGCCCAGTACAGCACCTGGCACAGTGCAAGCCCCCTGCACAGGGGAGGCGTTCTTGTGATCTGTGCCTGCGTCGGGCCTTTCTTCCTCAAGGGCGGGGTAAGACCACCCGCACTGCACCAAGAGAATGTCGGAGGGTATCTCCAGACTCCGGCGAAGCCCAACTGGCGGAGCCTGGGGGGTGGAGAGGAGCGCGCCCCAGTTATCACGCGCAGGCAGCGGGGTCAAACGGGGATTAACCCGGGATCCCGTCCTACGGCATTTAACATTATGGGGCTGCCCGCGCAGGGTGTGGGGGGGAACACCTTAGCGAAGCTATTGGCAAGTGACGATATCGCCAAAGGGGGGAAAAGAAATAAAAGCGAAGCTAGCGTCGTGAGAAACGCGGCGGACGCCCCAAAAGTGCTCCAGGACCTTTCTGCCCGGCTGATGGGGGATTTCGAGTTGAGGTCCGGGTGGAAACTAAGTTTGAAATGGAGGCCGTGTGTGGTGGCTCACACCTGTAATCCCAGCACTTGGGGAGGCCAAGGCGGAAGGCTCGCTTGAGCCCCGGATTTCGAGGTTGCAGTGAGCCGTGATCGCGCCCCTGCACTCCAGCGTGGGCGACGGAGCGAGACCCTATCAGAAAAAATGGGGTTTATGGCAATACAAGAGGGGACAGGCCTGGTGGCTCTGCCGGTGAGGGGAAATAAAGTTAGGGGAGGGGGCCTTGCTGGGGACCTCGGTCAGCTCCCCCGGACACCAGGAAGATCCGACCACGCCAACGGAACAGAGACGGGGGCGGGGCCGCGTCTGAAGCACGTGGCCCGCGTGACGGGAGGAGGCCGGGCCGGTCGCGACGAAGGGCGGGGTCGCTCCGTCCCAACGTCAGAGGAATGCGGTGGGGGGAGGGGGAGAGAGAGGGCCCCTCCCCTCCCCGCCCCCGCGGCCGGCCCGGACGCCCCTCGCGCCGGCGCGCACGGCCGGAGCACGGCGGAACGGTCTCCCCGGCGCCGCACGTTCCAGGCCGCCGGCCCGGCCTGGTGACCCGCACCCCCCGCGCTCCCGGCCACCGCCCCGCCCCCACCCCGCTGCTCGGACCCTGGCCCCCGGCCGCGCGCGGCGCCGCCCGCCAGTGCCCCGGTCACCTTCCCGCACCCCTCGCCCCCAGCCCCTACCAGCTCGGCGGCGAGCCTGACCGGCCGTCCCGGATCGAAAAGAGCAGACACTGGGAAGTTTTGGGAGAGGGAGGGGCGGGCCTTAAAGGGACCACGACCTTTTTTCAGCCCCGTGGGGGGAAGAAAAATTGGGGGCAGGGGGCGCGGGAGCGGGGACACGGCAGGAGACCGAGGGTCGCCCCGCGGGGGAATGGAGGAAACCAGGCGAGAAAGGAGCGGGAAGACCTTGGAGCCGCGGTGTTCGGGCTCCGCGTCCCTTTTCCCCAAAAATCCACCCCCGCCCCCCGCAGACGGAAAGTCACGCAGTTGTTTGAGACTCGCGCATCTTTCCTCCTGGTCAGGCAAGTGTCTTGGCTGAGGCAAGTGTTTGGGGTGTACATTGCTCACATAAGGAAATGGGCTGGAGGGACGCAAGTGACTAACCCAGGATGCCACAGCTTGCAAGTGGCATGGCGGGGCTGGTCTGACGCCGGAGCAGACGCATCACCACTGCACTTGCAGGGCTTATTAGGGTGATGGGGTAGGCTGTAGAGATGGGGGGTTCAGAGCAGGGGACTGGAGCCACCCTACCGGGGTTCCAACGTGGAAGCTGCATTTACTGTCTCTGGCCTTAGGAAAGTAACTTAGCCTTCCTCATCCGTTAGGGGGATGGCAGTAGGAGCTTCGTCTGGGTCGTCATGAGGAATGCAGAGAATGGAAACGGGACCTTAGAGGACTACCCCCATTTCACAGTTGAAGTAAAACTGGCCCAGAGAGTGGAAGAACCGCGAAAAATTACCACAGCTGGGCAGCCTCTGAAAGAGCAGGTCGCTCCCGTTCTTAATCCACACAAAACTTAATCGGACCCTTGCAGATCCTTGTAAACCCATGCCAGCCGGGCACGGTGGCTTCCCCTGTAATCCCAGCACTTTGGGAGGCCGAGGTGGGCAGATTGTTTAAGTCCAGGAGCTCGTGACCAGCCTGGGCAACATGGTGAAACCTTCTCTCTACATAAAATACAAAAAAATTAGCTGGGCGTGGTGGCGTGCAACTGTAGTCCCAGCTACTGGGGAGGCTGAGGCGGAAGGATCACTTGAGCCCAAGAGGTGGAGGCTGACAAAGCGAGACCCTGTCTCAAAAACAAACAACACCCCAGAAAAATATGGCTGGGCGCCGTGGCTCACGCCTGTAATCGTAGCACTTTGGGAGGCCGAGGCAGGAGAATCGCTTGAGGTCAGGGGTTCGAGACCAGCCTGGCTAACATGGCGAAACCCGGTCTCTACTTAAAATACAAAAATTAGGCTGGCGTGGTGGCAGGCGCCTGTAATCCCAGCTACTCAGAATGCTAAGGCAGGAGAATTGCTTGAACCCGGGAGGTGAAGTTTGCAGTGAGCCGAGATTGTGCCACTGCACTCTAACCTGGGCAACAGAGTGAGACTCTGTCTCAAAAAACTAAAATAAATAAAATAGGCCGGGCACGGTGGCTCACACCTGTAATACTAGCACTTTGGGAGGCTGAGGCGGCTGGATCACGAGGTCAGGAGATCAAGACCATCCTGGCTAACACGGTGAAACCCCGTCTCTGCTAAAAATAAAAAAAAAATTAAAAAAAAAATTAGCTGGGCATGGTGGCAGGCGCCTGTAGTCCCAGCTACTGGGGAGGCTGAGGCAGGAGAATGACGTGAACCCAGGAGGCGGAGCTTGCAGTGAGCCGAGATCGCTCCACTGTACTCCAGCCTGGGCGACAGAGCGAGACTCCGTCTCAAAAATAAATAAATAAAAGTAAAAAATAAATAAATAAATAAAATAAAGAAAAAATAGTAATGCTGCTGTGACCATTCCTAGTGATATCTTCTTGTGTCCATGTGTGAGAGTTTTAAGGGCATGTAGGTAGGAGTGGGATTGCTGGGTCGTGTAACATATTTTGACATTATTGGGTAGTAACAAATTGTTATTCAATATATCTGTACCATATATTCCCACCAGCAGTATATGAGAAGGTCTCATTCTTTTTTTTTTTTCTTTTGAGACAAGAGTTTCAATTTGTCCCCCAAGCTGGAGTGCAGTGATGCATACACAGCTCACTGCAGCCTCGACCTCCTAGGCTCAAGTGATCCTCCCACTTCAGCCTCCTGAGTAGCTGAGACCGCAAGCACATGCCATCATACCCTAATTTTTTTTTTTTTTTTTTTGAGATGGAGTCTCACTTTGTTGCCCAGGCTGGAGTGCAGGGGTGTGATCTCCACTCACTGCAACCTCTGCCTCCCAGGTTCAAGCGATTCCTCTGCCTCAACCTCCTGAGTAGCTGGAATTACAGGCACACGCCGCCATGCCAGGCTAATTTTTGTATTTTTAGTAGAGACGGGGTTTCACCATGTTGTCCAGGCTGGTCTTAACTCCTGGCCTCAAGTGATCTGCCCACCTCGGCCTCCTAAAGTGCTACTAGCATTACAGGCATGAGCCACAGCGCCCAGCCACCCTAATTTTTTTAAATTTTTTTAATTTTTTTATTTTTATTTATTTTTTTTTTTGTAGAGGCAGGGGTCTCACTATGTTGCCCAGGGTGATCTTGAACTCCTGGGCTCAAGCAATCCTCCCACCTCAGCCTCCCAAAGTGTTAGGATTGTAGGTGTGAGCCATGGCACCAAGCCTAGGTTTCTTTTTTTTTTTTTTTAATTTAATTTAATTTTATTTTATTTTATTTATTTTTTTTTTATTGATCATTCTTGGGTGTTTCTCACAGAGGGGCTTTTGGCAGGGTCATAGGACAATAGTGGAGGGAAGGTCAGCAGATAAACAAGTGAACAAAGGTCTCTGGTTTTCCTAGGCAGAGGACCCTGCGGCCTTCTGCACCGTTTGTGTCCCTGGGTACTTGAGATTAGGGAGTGGTGATGACTCTTAAGGAGCATGCTGCCTTCAAGCATCTGTTTAACAAAGCACATCTTGCACCGCCCTTAATCCATTTAACTCTGAGTGGACACAGCACATGTTTCAGAGCACAGGGTTGGGGGTAAGGTCACAGATCAACAGGATCCCAAGGCAGAAGAATTTTTCTTAGTACAGAACAAAATGAAAAGTCTCCCATGTCTACCTCCCTCTACACAGACACGGCAACCATCCCATTCCTCAATCTTTTCCCCACCTTTCCCCCCCCTCCATTCCACAAAGCCGCCATTGTCATCCTGGCCCGCTCTCAATGAGCTGTTGGGTACACCTCCCAGACGGGGTGGTGGCCGGGCAGAGGGGCTCCTCACCTCCCAGATGGGGCGGCCGGGCAGAGGCGCCCCTCACCTCCCGGACGGGGCGGCTGGCCGGGCGGGGGGCTGACCCCCCCACCTCCCTCCCGGACCGGGCGGCTGGCCAGACGGGGGGCTGACCCCCCCACCTCCCTCCCGGACGGGGCGGCTGGCCGGGCGGGGCCTGACCCCCCCACCTCCCTCCCGGACGGGGCGGCTGGCCGGGCAGAGGGGCTCCTCACTTCCCAGTAGGGGCGGCCGGGCAGAGGCGCCCCTCACCTCCCGGACGGGGCGGCTGGCCGGGCGGGGGGCTGACCCCCCACCTCCCTCCCGGACGGGGTGGCTGCCGGGCGGAGATGCTCCTCACTTCCCAGACGGGGCGGCTGCCGGGTGGAGAGGCTCCTCACTTCTCATACGGGGCGGCTGCCGGGCGGAGGGTCTCCTCACTTCTGAGACGGGGCGGCCGGGCAGAGACGCTCCTCACCTCCCAGACGGGGTGGCGGCCGGGCAGAGGCGCTCCTCACATCCCAGACGGGGCGGCGGGGCAGAGGCACTCCCCACATCCCAGACGATGGGCGGCCGGGCAGAGACGCTCCTCACTTCCTAGATGTGATGGCGGCCGGGAAGAGGCGCTCCTCACTTCCGAGATGGGATGGCGGCTGGGCAGAGACGCTCCTCACTTTCCAGACTGGGCAGCCAGGCAGAGGGACTCCTCACGTCCCAGACGATGGGCGGCCAGGCAGAGACGCTCCTCACTTCCCAGACGGGGTGGCGGCCTGGCAGAGGCTGCAATCTCGGCACTTTGGGAGGCCAAGGCAGGCGGCTGGGAGGTGGAGGTTGTAGCGAGCCGAGATCACGCCACTGCGCTCCAGCCTGGGCGCCATTGAGCACTGAGAGAACCAGACTCCGTCTGCAATCCCGGCACCTCGGGAGTCCGAGGCTGGCGGACCACTCGCGGTTAGGAGCTGGAGACCAGCCTGGCCATCACAGCGAAACCCCGTCTCCACCAAAAAAATACGAAAACCAGTCAGGCGTGGCGGCGCGCACCTGCAATTGCAGGCACTCCGCAGGCTGAGGCAGGAGAATCAGGCAGGGAGGTTGCAGTGAGCCGAGATGGCAGCAGTATAGTCCAGCTTCGGCTCGGCATGAGAGGGAGACCGTGGAAAGAGAGGGAGAGGGAAACCATGGGGAGAGGGAGAGGGACAGGGACAGGGAGAGGGAGAGGGAGAGCGCCTAGGTTTCTTCTGCTGTTCTTTTCCAAAACTTCTTAAATTTTGATACGTCTTTCTCCTTTTCTAATATAAGCACGGAGGCTCTGAATTTCCCTCTCCATTTTAATTTGGCTGCATTTTACAGAAAGGTGTTTTGGAACTTCCATTCTAATTTCTCTCAGACAGATGGCATTTTTAACTTATTTTGTTGTTGTGGTTTGCTAAAATACTTGCAAGTTGGTACATTTTGCATTTTGAAAGATTTTGCCAAATTACCCTCCATTAGCACTGTAACAATTTGAGTTCTCAGCATTTCTATGTAAAAAATGAATTTTCCCCACTATCTCAAAATACTGCACATTTTGTTTTACATTTGTCAATCTGAGGTAAAAACTGGTTTTAATTTTAATTTACTTTATATTTACCTTATTGAATGAATCGTGTGTGTGTATGTGAGCGTATACCATATGTGTTCACATGGGAATTGGAACAGCTAGAGAAAAAACATCCCAGGGAGAAGAAACAGCAAATGCAAAAGCCCTGAAGTCGGCTGGGCATGGTGGCTCACGCCTGTAATCCCAGCACTGGGAGGCCGAGGTGGGCAGATCACGAGGTTCAAGACCAGCCTGGCCAACACGGTGAAACCCCATTTCTACTAAAAATACAAAAATTAGTTGGGCGTCGTGGTGGTTGCCTGTAATCCCAGCTACTCAGGAGGCTGAGGCAGGAAAATCACTTGAAACCGGAAGGCTGAGGTTACAGTGAGCTGAGATCACACGCCACTGCACTCTAGCCTGGGCAACGAGCGAAATTCCGCCACACACACACACACACACACACACACACACACACACACACAAAAAGCCCTGACATGAGAACTGAAGACCTTTGTGGCTGGGCAGAGGGAGTGACAGGGTGAGTCTGAGGGGACAAGGTCAGAGGGGTGATGGGGGCACGTTATGTGGGGCCCACTGAGACGGGCTGAGGATGAGGACTTTGGTCTTATTACTAAGTGAGAAAAGAACCATGAGAGGGTTAAAAACCAGAATGACAAGCTGAGCATGGTGGCTCAAGCCTGTAATCCCAGCACTCTGGGAATGTTAAGGCAGGAGGATCCCTTGAGGCCAGGAGTTTTAGATGAGCCTGGCTAACATAGTGAGACACCATCTCTACAAAAAAAAAGTAAAAGGCCAGGTGCGGTGGCTCATACCTGTAATCCCAGCACTTTGTGAGGTCAAGGCGAGTGGATCACCTGAGGTCAGGAGTTTGAGACCATCCTGGCCAACATGGTGAAACCCCATTTCTACTAAAAATACAAAAATTAGCTGGGCATGGTGGTGGGTGCCTATAATCCCAGCTACTTGGGAGGCTGAGGCGGAAGAATCAACTTGAACCTAGGAGGCAGAAGTTGCAGTGAGTCAAGACTGTGCTATTGCACTCCAGCCTGGGCAACAAAAGTGAAACTCCATCTCAAAAAAAAAAAAAAAGGAAAAAAATTAGCTGGGCATGGTGTAATGCCCCTAGTCCCAGGTCCTCAGGAGACTCAGGCAGGAGGATCACTTGAGCCCAGGAGTTTGAGGCTGCAGTGAGCTATGATTGCACCACTGCACTTTAGCCTGGGCAACAGAGTGATAACTTCTTTCCAAAAAACTCCACAAAAAACAGAAGAGTGATGAGATCAGATTTTTTTTGGATTAAAAAATATAACATCTTTATTAAGCTATATTTCACATACCATAATATTAACTCTTTATATATTTATTTATTTATTTGAGACGCAGTCTCGCTTTGTCGCCCAGGCTGGAGTGCAGTGATGCGATCTCATCTCACTGCAACCTCTGCCTCCTGGGTTCAAACGATTCTCCTGCCTCAGCCTCCCAAGTAGCTGGGATTATAGGCACCTGCCACAATGCCCGGCTAATTTTTGTATTTTTAGTAGAGATGGGGTTTCTGCATGTTGGCCAGGCTGACCTCGAACTCCTGACCTCAGGTGATCCGCCCGCCTCAGCCTCCCAAAGTGCTGGGATTACAGGCGTGAGCCATTGCACCCAGCCAAATATTAACTCTTTTAAAGTGTATGACTGGCTGGGCTGGTGGCTCACACCTATAATCCCAGCTATGTGGGAGGCCGAGGTGGGCAAATCACTGAGGTCAGGAGTTTGAGACCAGCCTGGTCAACATGGCGAAACCACCTCTCTACTAAAAATACAAAAATTAGCCAGGCGTGGTGGTGCACGCCTGTAGTCCCAGCCACTCTGGAGGCTGAAGCACCAGAGTCACTTGAACCTGGGAGGAAGAAGTTTTGTGTGTGTGTGTGTATGTTTGTGTATATGTATGATTGAGTGTTGAGTGGTTTTTAGTATGCTCACATAGTCATGCAACCATCATCACTGTCTGATTCTGGAATATTACCCTCAAAAGGAACTCCATACCCTTTTTTTGTTTTTCGAGACAGAGTCTTGCTCTGTCGCCCAGGCTGGAGTGTAATGGCGTGATCTCGCCGCACTGCAACCTCCGCCTCCTGGTTCAAGCAATTCTCCTGCCTCAGCCTCTGGACTAGCTGGGATTACAGGCGCCCACCACCATACCCCGCTAGTGTTTTGAATTTTTAGTAGAGACGGGGTTTTGCCACGTTGCAATCCGCCCACCTCAGCCTCCCAAAGTGCTAGGATTACAGGCGTGAGCCACTGTGCCCAGCCTCCATATCCTTCAGCAGTCACTCCCCTCAGCCCCCGGCAGCCGCCAATTTACTTTCTGTCTCTATGGATTTGTCTAGTCTGGACATTTCATATTGTAGGGTCCAGCCCTACGGGGCTTAGCAGGTGTTCTCCCCGTGTGCAGAGATGAGAGATGGTAATAAATAAAGACACAAGACAAAGAGATAAAGAGAAAACAGCTGGGCCCGGGAGACCACTACCATCAAGTTGTGGAGACTGGTAGTGGCCCCGAACGGCTGGGCGCGCTGATATTTATTGCATACGAGACAAGGGGGGCAGGGTAAGGAGGGTGAATCCTCTAAGTGATTGATAAGGTGAAGCAAGTCACGTGATCATAGGACGGGGGTGGGGGGCCCTTCCCTTTTAGGTAGCCAAAGCAGAGAGAGAAGGCAGCATACGTCAGCGTTTTCTTCTATGCACTTATAAGAACGATCAAAGACTTTAAGACTTTCACTATTTCTTCTACCGCTATCTACTACCAACTTCAAAGAGGATCCAGGAGTACGGGAGGAACGTGAAAGTGGACAAGGAGCGTGACCTTTGGAGCACAGCACCACAGGGAGGGGTTTAGGCCTCCGGTGACTGCAGGCAGGCCTGGATAATATCCAGCCTTCCAGAAGAAGCTGGTGGAGCAGTGTTCCCTGACTCCTCCAAGGAAAGGAGACTCCCTTTCGCGGTCTGCTAAGTAATGGGCGTCTTCCCAGACACTGGCATTACCGCTTGACCAAGGAGCCCTCAAGCGGCCCTTATGTGGGCGTGACAGAGGGCTCACCTCTTGCCTTCTAGGTCACTTCTCACAATGTCCCTTCAGCACCTGACCCTATACCCACCGGTTATCCTTAGGGTATATTAGTAATGCAACAAAGAGTAATATTAAAAGCTAATGATTAATAATGTTTATAATAATGATTGATAATTGTCCATGATCATCTCTATATCTAATTTGTATTATGACTATTCTTATTCTAACTATTTTCTTTATTATACTGAAACAGTTTGTGCCTTCAGTCTCTTGCCTCGGCACCTAGGTAATCTTTCACCCACATCATATAAATGGAAAAATATAGTATGTAGCCTTTTGTGTCTGATTCTCTTAGCATGTTTTCAAGTTTCACCCATGTTTTTTAAATTAAATTAAATTTTTATTTTTGGGGGACGGAGTTTAGCTCTTGTCGCCCAGGCTGGAGTGCAATGGTGCAATCTCGGCTCACTGCAACCTCTACCTCCAAGGTTCAAGCGATTCTCCTACCTCAGCCTCCCAAGTAGCTGGGACTACAGGCGCCCGCCGCCATGCCCGGCTAATTTTTGTAATTTTAGTAGAGACTGGGTTTTGCCTTGTTGGCCAGGCTGGTCTCTTATCTCCTGACCTTACGATCCGCCTGCCTCGGCCTCCCAAAGTGCTGGGATTACAGGCATGAGCCACTGTGCCCGACCTGCTTTCTTCTTTTTTGTTGTTAAGCCTCCTCCGGCTCCAAGCAGAAATAGCTTCACGGTCTGCTGTGCTTCAGATTGAAAACTCAGACACCCTCAGGGACCAGTGGGGAAAGCCACCCCTTAGAGGAAAGTTTCTCATTTGCATTACGCAGTCCTGACCCTTTCCCTACCTTTCCCCGCCCCCAGCTTCAATCAGGTCTAACTGATATGTGAGAAACCAGACCTTTAAAGTGTACAATTGATGAGTTTTAACTTACATATACACCTGGGAAACCATCACCACAAATCAAGATAGTGACCACAAGGTAAAAACAGTATTCATCATCCCCAGGAAGTGTTTTTGTTTTTTTGTTTTTTGTTTTTTATTTTTTTTTTTGAGATAGTCTTGCTCTGCTATCCAGGCTGAAGTCCAGTGGTGTGATTATAGCTCACTGTGGCTTACTCCCAAGTAGCTGGGACTACAGGTTCCTGCCACCCCATGGCCATTTTATATATATATATATATAATATATATGTATATAAAATATATATATAGTTATATATATACACACTATATATACTATATATTATATATAATAGTTATATATACCATATATTATATATACTATATTATATATAGTATATCATATATAGCATATATTATATATACTATATTATATAGTATCTCATATATAGCATATAATATATACTATATTATATATAGCATATCATATATAGTATATATAATATATACTATATTATATATAGTGTATAATATATACTATATTATATATATATTATATATATAAATATAATTGGGTTTTTTTTTGTTTGTTTTTTTGGTAGAGATGGGGTCTTGCTACGTTACCTCGGCTGATCTCAAACTCCGGGCCTCAGGCAATCCTCCTGCCTCAGCCTCCCAAAATGCTGGGATTACAGTAGTGAGCTACCACACCCACAGAAGTTTTCTTTTCGTTTTTGAGACGGAATTTTGCTCTGTCGCCCAGGCTGGAGTGCAGTGGCATGATCTCAGCTCACTGCAGCCTCCACCTCCTGGGTTCAAGCAATTCTCCTGCCTCGGCCTCCCTAGTAGCTGGGATTACAGACATGCACCACCATGCCCAGCTAATTTTTTTTTTTTTTTTTTTTTGAGATGGAGTTTTGCTCTTGTTGCCCAGGCTGGAGTGCAATGGTGTGATCTCGGCTCACTGCAACCTCCATCTCCCAGGTTCAAGCGATTCTCCTGTCTCAGCCTCCTGAGTAGCTGGGATTACAGGCATGTGCCACCATGCTTGGCTAAATTTTTTTGTATTTTTAGTAGAGACGGGGTTTCTCCATGTTGATTAGGCTGGTCTTGAACTCCTGACTTCAGGTGATCTGCCTGCCTTGGTCTCCCAAAGTGCTGGGATTGCAGGCATGAGCCACCACACCCAGCCGCTAATTTTTATATTTTTAGTAGAGACAGGGTTTCAACATGTTGCCCAGGCTGGTCTTGAATTCCTGACCTCAAGTGATCCCCCTGCCTTGGCCTCCCAAAGTGCTGGGATGGGTGTGAACCACCACGCCTGCAGAAGTTTTCTTGAGCCTCCTTGTAAACCCTCTGTTTTTCACTGTCCCCCGCCCAGTGTTACAGACCACAAGTTCTTGGGATCTGAATGCAACTGAAATTGACTTGAGGCCAAAACAGTTTTCCCAGACAAGACTTCATTGGAGTTTATGCCTGGGTATGAGGGAGACAGCACAAGAGAAAGAGAGCAAATTTGCTGGCTGACTCTTGGAAAAGAGCCAGTAGGGCTTTTTTATTAGGCAAAGCTCTGGAATTGACATTAGCGGGAGGATATACAGGCTGAGCTGGGCAAAACATGTGAGGAGTAGAGCACTCATGAGGACACTTGTCTGGCTGCGATGGTTATCTTGAGTAATGGGCCACATGGTGTTCTGGCAGGTGCAACAAGGCTGTAAATCAATTGTTCAGCTTTCCTTCCGGAGCTGGGACACTCACACCCTCGGTTACTTCCTAAGGCCAGTTCCTGAAATTCTTTTTTTTTCTTTTGTTTGAGACAGAGTCTTGGTCTGTTGTGCCCAGGCTGGAGTGCGGTGGTGCTATCTTGGCTCACTGCAACCTCCTTCTCCCAGGTTCAAGTGATCCTCCTGACTCAACCTCCCGAGTAGCTGGGATTACAGGCGCCTGCTACCACGCCCAGCTAATTTTTATATTTTTAGTAGAGATGGGGTTTCACCATGTTGGCCACGCTAGTCTCGAACTCCTGACCTCAAGTGAGCCACCCGCCTCGGCCTCCCAAAGTGCTGGGATTACAGGCGTGAGCTACCGCGCCCGGTCTCGCTATTGATTCTTTTTGCTTCCACGGACAACTTTTTATTTCCTATCTTCCATCTGTGAGGGCGTTCAGGACTTTTGGGCCTTTGTGAGTAAACAGTCAACTCTGTGGAGCGGAGACCCTAGAGAATATGGCCAGAGAGAAATGTGAGCTGTACTCCATTGGCAGCTAGCAAAACTTTCCTTTCTTTGAGCTGTCTTTGCAGTGGTTCTAGATCTTGGGAGGACGGCTGTAGATGCCCTGCATCCTTGGTTAAGTCATAACCTTGGTTAAGGCTTATAGGTTTCACTTGGGAGAGTACCTGTGGTGAAGAAGTTCACAAGCCAGGAATACCAGCTGTTTGTCCCAACTAAAAGCTGGTAATACGGCTGGGCACTGTGGCTCTCACGCCTGTAATCCCAGCACTTTGGGAGGCCAAGGCGGGTGGATCACCTGAGGTCTGGAGTTCGAGACCAGCCTGACCAATATGGTGAAACTCTATGTCTACTAAAAATACAAAAATTAGCCGGACATGGTGGTGTCTGCCTGTAGTCCCAGCTACTTGGGAGGCTGAGACAAAAGAATTGTTTGAACCCAGGAGGCGGAGGTTGCAGTGAGCTGAGATTGCACCACTGCACTCCAGCCTGGGCAACAGACAGACACTCCATCTCAAAAATAAAATAAATAAATAAATAAATTTATTTATTTTAATAAGAAATTTAATCTGGTAATAAGAAATTTAAGAGTAGTTATTTTAAAGAGCTTTATAGTTAGAAGTCAGCTTAATCAAAAGCTAATATCCAAGTTTTTTTTTTTTTTTTTTTTTTTTTTTTTAAGACTGAGTCTTGCTTGTCACCCAGGCTGGAGCGCAGTAACACGATCTCGGCTCACTGCAACCTCTGCCTCCTGGGTTCAATGAAGCCATTCTCCTGCCTCAGCCTCCCCAGTAGCTGGGATTACAAGGGTGCACCACCACGCCCAGCTAATTTTTGTATTTTTAGTGGAGACGGGGTTTCACCATGTTGGCCAGGCTGGTTTCGAACTCCTGACCTCGCGATCTGCCCGCCTCGGCCTCCCAAAGTGCTAGGATTACAGGCGTGAGCCACCATGCCCGGCCCCAAGTTTTATATATATATATATATATATTTAAAAGGGCTTTCTGACTTTTCTCTTTGAATCTTTTTTCGTGGACTAGAACTTTTTTTTTCAAAAACAAAAAAACCCTGTGTGCTTGGTATGACCACTTCCTTTGTTCACTTCCTCCCTTTTTCTTTTTTTCTTCTTTCTTGAGGTGGGGTCTTGCTCTGTTGCCCAGGCTGGAGTGCAGTGGTGTGATCACAGCTCTGCAGCTTTGACCTCCTGGGCTCAAGCAATCATTCCACCTTCACCTCCCAAAGTGCTGGGATTACAGACATGAGCTTCTATGCCCGGCCCACTTCCTTTATTAAAAATTATTTTTCCATGATGTGAGTGAGAGCCCAAGGGGAGACTTCTAGCATGAAGCCCAGAGCTCCACAGCAAACAGGAGCTTGAGTTTGACCCTAAGCCCTCAACCAGCGATACCCCAAACAGCTGCCATTTGAGTTTCACGTCCCTTTTTTTTTTTTTTTTGCCACACATTCATGCATCACCTGCCCACTTCACTGCTTAATAATTTTCTTTAAATCAACCCACTCTTTTGTTTTTAATTCAACACATTTATTTAAACAGGAGATGTCATTTCACTCCAGGAAGTGGAAAACCAGTGTCAGTTGGCACACATAGACTCTAATAGTACAAATAAATCCAATGATTCAGCAACAACAGAGAAGTGCTAAAAGCATTGGGTGAAAGGTGTTGAGGAACAGGTTGGTCACCAGGTCTCAAGGTGACACCCACAGATGATGCAAGAATTCAAAGGCTCACGCCTATAATCCCAGCACTTTGGGAGGCCGAGGCGGGTGGATCACTTGAGGTCAGGAGTTCAAAACCAGCCTGGGCAACATGACGAAACCCCATTTCTACAAAACATACCGAAAATTAGCCGGGCATGGTGGTGGTGTGCACCTGTAGTCCTAGTACTACTAAGCTGAGGTGGGAGGATCGTGGGAGGTGGAGATTGCAGTAAGCCTAGATCACACCACTGCACTCCAGCCTGGGCGACAGAGTGAGACCCTGTCTCAAAAACAAACCGACAAACAACAAAAAATAAAACAAAAAACAAGGGGAGAAGATGACCATCTGCAAGCCAAGGAGAGAGCCCTCAGAAGGAAGTCTATTGTGCTGACACCTCGAACTGGAACTATTGTAACCGCCCAAGGGGTTCACGTTTCCTGCTGCCTAGACAGAGCCCATACATCAAAACAGGGGAATTGCAATAGAGAAAGAGTAATTCGCTGGGCGCAGTGGCTGACGCCTGTAATCCCACCACTTTGGGAGGCTGAGGTGGGCGGATCACGAGGTCAGGAAACCGAGACCATTCTGGCTAACACGGTGAAACCCTGTCTCTACTAAAAACACAAAAAATTAGCCGGGCGTGGCGGCACGTGCCTGCAGTCCCAGCTACTTGGGAAGCTGAGGCAGGAGAATGGCGTGAACCCGGGAGGCGGAGCTTCCAGTGATGCAATGAGCTGAGACCACGCCACTGCACTCCAGCCTGGGCAACACAGCAAGACTCCGCCTTAAAAAAAAAAAAAAAAAAGAGTGATTCACGCAGAGGAGCCAGAGCCCGCTGTGCGCTGTGCGGGAGACCGGAGTTGTATTATTACTCAAATCAGTCTCCCTGAGCATTCTAGGATCAGAGCTTTTAACAACAACGCGGTGGGTGGGGGGAAGCTAGTGAGCCAGGAGTGTTGATTGCTCAGGAATGAAATCATAGGGAGTCGAAGCTGTCTTCTTGAGCTGAGTCAGTTCCTGTATAGGGGGCCACAAGATCAGAAGAGCCAGTTTATTGATCTGGTGGTGCCCACTGATCCATCAAGCGCAGGGTCTGCACAATGTTCCAAGCACTGATCTTAGGAGCAGTTTAGGGAGGGTCAGAATCTTGTAGCCTCTGGCTGCATGACTCCTAAACCATAATTTCTAATCTTATGATTAATGTTAGTCCTACAAAGGCAATCTAGTTCCCAGACAAGAAGGAGGTCTGCTGTTGGGCGCGGCGGCTCACGCCTGTAATCCCAGCGCTTTGGGAGGCCGAGGTGGGCTGATCACAAAGTCAAGAGATCGAGACCATCCTGGCCAACATGGTGAAACTGTGTCTCTACTAAAAATACAAACATTAGCCAGGCGTGGTGGCACATACCTGTAGTCCCAGCAACTCAGGAGGCTGAGGCAGGAGAATTGCTTGAACCCGGGAGGCGGAGGTTGCAGTGAGCTGAGATTGTGCCACTGCACTCCAGCTTGGGCAACAGAGCCAGACTCTGTCTCACCAAAAAAAAAAAAAGAAAAAAAGAGGGAGTTCTGCTTTGGAAAGGGCTGTTTTCAACTTTGTTTAAACTATAAACTCTTTCTCTCAAAGTTAGTTCGGCCTACATCTAGGAATGAACAAGGACAGCTTGGAGATTAGAAGCAAGATGGAGTCAATTATGTTAGATCTCTTTCACTGTCTCAGTCATAATTTTGCAAACACAGTTTCACTGGGAGGAAATAAATTTCTGTTGTTTAAGCCACACAGTCTGTGATCTTTTTTTTTTCTTTTTTGAGACAGAGTCTCGCTCTGTCGCCCAGACTGGAGTGCAGTGGCACAATCTCAGCTCACTGCAACCTCCGCCTCCCAGGTTCAAGCGATTCTCCTGCCCCAGCCTCCTGAGTAGCTGGGATTATGGGCGCGCATCACCATGCCTCAGCCTCCCGAGTAGCTGGGATTACAGGCGCGTCACCATGCCCGGCTAATTTTTTTTTTTGTATTTTTAGTAGAGACGGGGTTTCACCATGTTGGCCAGGCTGGTCTCGAACTCCTGACCTCGTGACCCACCTGCCTCAGCCTCCCAAAGTGTTGGGATTACAAGCGTGAGCCACCGCACCCGGCCATCTGTGGTCTTTTTGATGGCAGCTCTAGCCGACTAGCCTATCTCCTTAGCTCAATGGTCAAAGTTAGCTTTACCAATCACGGCCCCTGATGGGATTCAGGTACCGAGAAGGACACAGCGTCCCTGCGGAGTATTCTTCCCCACAGCTGCAAGACCAGATTTTAATCATGAGGAAGCAGCAGACGAGGCCAGAAACTGGGACTGTCCACAGGACAACTGGCCAGGGCTCTTCGAACAGCCAGGGTCAGTCCAGCTGCTACACATGTGAGGTAAGAAAAAAAAAAGCCAACGTCAGGAGCCTCTCTGAACCTATTGTGGTTTGGAGGCTGTCCAGTTTATTTACAAATTGAAAAAAAGTTATATATATATAAATTATTATATTATTGTTTTATAATATTTATATTATTTTATAAATTAATATAATTATTATGATTATAAATTAAATATTTTAATTTATATATAAATTATTTTTTATTTTTGTAAATATATAAATCTATCTATATATAGATATATCTATACGTATAGACACAGATAGATACCTCATGTAGCTAGTGCATACTTGAAATGTGACTAGTCCAAACTGTGATGTGATTAAGTGTAAAATGCACAGTAAATTTCAAAGCTTTAGCATACACACACACAAACATACAAAGTTTTAAATATGTCAGTAACTTTTTAATATGGATACATGTTGAAGTGATAATATTTGGGATACATTGTGTTAAATCAAATATATTATTATTAACGTTAACTTCACTTGTTTCTTTTTATTTATTTATTTATTTTTGAGATGGTGTTTCACTCTTGTTGCCCAGGCTGGAGTGCAATGGCGCAATCTCCGCTCACCGCAATCTTCGCCTCCCGGGTTCAAGCCATTCTCCTGCCTTAGCCTCCGGAGTAGCTGGGATTACAGGCATGCGCCACCATGCCCGGCTAAGTTTGTATTTTTAGTAGAGACGGGTTTCTCCATGTTTGTCAGGCTGGTCTTGAACTCCCGACCTCAGGTGATCTGCCCACCTTGGCCTCCCAAAGTGCTGGGATTACAGGCATGAGCAACCGCACCCGGCCTCACTTGTTTCTTTTTAGTTTTTTAAATTGTAGTTACTATGAACAATGAAATACATAAATATATGGTTTGTTAGCATGTGATACATTCTTTGGGAAAAACGATCACAATTGGGCACGGTGGCTCACGCCTATAATCTCAGCACTTTGGGAGGCCGACGTGGGCAGATTGCTTGAGGTTAGGAGTTTGAGACCAGCCTGGGCAACAAAGAGAGACCTCATCTTTATAAAAAATTTTAAAAATTAGACAGGCACGGTGGTAGGTGCCTGTAGTCTCAGCTACTTGGTAGGCAGAGGCAGGGGGCTTGTTTGAGCCAGGAGGTTAAGGCTGCAGTGAGCCGAGATCATGCCACTACACTCCAGCCTGGGCAACAGACAGAGACGTTCTTTCAAAACAAAACAAAACCCCCTGTTCCTCAAGCAAGATGCCAGACGTACCTGGGTCAGTCCAGACTCCTGACCTATGTGGTTTAGGAGCAGCAAGGAGGAGGGAGGGGTCCCAGGAAAAGGGAACAGCCTACCTCTGGGCCTTTGCACTGGCTCATCCTGCTTCTCGGAATGCTCTTCCTAATACCCACTCTGCTCCTCCCTTCCCCTCCCCTCCTTCAGGCCTTTCTGCAGATGTCACCTCAGTGAGGCTTTCTCTGATACGCCTGTCTAAAACTGCAAAGCCTCCTGAGTAGCTGGTACCACAGGAGTACGCCACCACGCCCGGCTAATTTTTGTTTTTTTTTTTTTTTGGTAGATGGGGGTCCCACTGTTTTGCCCAGGCTGGTCTCAAACTCCTGGGCTCAAGCAATCCTCCCACCTTGGCCTCCCAAAATGTTGGGATTACAGGCATGAACGGAGGGGTGTGAAACCCCTAGTTGTCACTGGTCCCTGTCACAGTCTCTTCTGCCCATGGCTCCTTAAAGGGCAGGTTGGCCTGTGGGGAGAGGTGGGAGCTGGGTCAGAAGGGCACCAGGTCTCACCCTCCCTTCTACTTGCAGCCAGATGGGCAGTCACCTGGGCTCTGGGATGATCCTTTCTGTGCAGCGTCCGCCTGCGGTGCCACTGGTGCAGGGAGGCGCGGGCCTCGGAGCTGAGCCCCCGGGGAGCGCGGTCTGTTTCGGGCTGGTAGTGGGCAATGTGGTGCAGCGCCCCAAACCACGTGGTCAGGTAGTACCCAGCTGGGGACAGAAAGGGAAGTCAGCTCCGCCCTCTCGGCTTCCCTGGTCGCCCCAAATCCCCCTGCAGTTTGCCTGCCGTCCCTCCTGCTGCGGGGGGAGGCTGTTTGGGATCCCGGAGGTACTGGATCGCTGGGCTCCAGCATTCTGGAGTTGGGGGCTCACCCTCTCCCCGCAGCTCATCTGGATCTAAGAGCTCCATAAGAAACTCTACGTCCAGCTGCGTGTCCCCAATGTCCGGGCTCCAGATGAGTTCCTCGGTCAGCGCCGGCAGGAAGGCGTCGGCCCCCAGGGGATCTGGGAAAACCAGAGGAAAGGTCTTGAGATGGATCCCCATCTCAAGGCGCGTAGACACCTTCCATCCGATCCCCAGGACCACGAGGGCTGGCTGCCCCTCCACCTTGTCGGGCATGACAGCGCCTCCTACCAGAATCTTCAGGACCGCATAGATTCCTCCCACCAGTGCTACCCTCTCCCGCCTGGCTCCAACTCTCAAGGCTCTCCCCACCACGCTAGACGTTGACCCCTCCCTTACCTTGGTTCTCGCCTCGAGCCAGGCCCGCATAGACATCTCTGCACACCTCCAAGAGGAGCGCCACCTTGCGGCGCGGGGCGCAGGCAGCGTGGAGGTGCGCAAGGCGCTCGTGGATGCGGCTCCGCAAGGCGGGGGCGGGGCTCTGCCCTTCCGGTCCCGGCCCCTGTGCCCCCGGAGGCCCCGCCCCCGCCCGCAGGGCTGTCTGTCGCCGCCGCAGCCGCCGCAGCTCCGGTGCTCGGAGTGTGCGGAGTCGTGTCCACAGGGCCGGCTTCAGGGGCGCCAGCACCGCCTGGCACACCGCCGTCTCCAGCGCGGGGCCTGCGGGGTGTGGGGGACGGGTGAGCACAGGACCGCCAAGTTGTCCCACGCCCACCCACGCGCTCCAACAACCCACCCTGGCCCACAGCCACCCCTGCCTAGCTCTGGTCCCCCGTGAGTGTAGACATGGTTGTGAACATGTGTGGAAGAGTTAGCCTGGGTGTGAACTTGCGCGCATACGTGGGCGATAGAACGCGTGGGATGTGTAGGAAGGGCGTGTGGGTGCAGAAGGAAACGTGTGCGCACCGATGGAGAGGACGAAGTTGCACACTTGAACCCGTGGGGGCTCCCTTCCAGTCCTCCCATTACCTGGATCCTCGTCCTTCTTGGGGAGCCCAGGACCCCTGCTTCCAAAGACAGCCCTGATGTAGGAGTCCTTTGCCAGGTGATCCTGGAGGTCAGTAAGGAGGTGCCGCACATCCTGAAGCAGCTCCGTGGCCGGGTCCCCAGACCCGTGGGGACCCCCAGAATCTGAGGCGATGCGCACCCGAAGGCTTCGGTACTGCCTGGCCACGTAGCTGCTCCGGGCCCTGACCAGAGACTGGACGTGAATGGTGAGCACGTCCTCAGGGCCTTCCTCTTCAGGGTCGTCCTCCCTTCCTTCCTCCTTTCCTTCAAGGTCTTCCTCCTCCTCTTCCAGTAGGCTGGCGAGAGCCGGCCCAGGATGGTCCACTTCCGGGCTGAGCGGGCCTTTCACCCAGGAGACCCCGTGAGGCGCAGGGTTCCTGGGGGCTGGAAGTGAGGAGGGCATTCGGTCGCCTAGAACAGGGGCAGCAGCTCCCTCCCCTTCAGAGGCCCAGGGCCCCGCCCAGCTAACCTGGATCATGTCTCTGAGCAGCCTCTGGCTCTGTTTCTTGAGGGGTCTGCTCCCTCCCCCAGCCTCTGTGGGTCTCCAGGTAGAGCTGGTTCACAATGGAAAGCACCTTCCCTGGGGTGTCCTGTTGGACCCTGCCGATCTGCACAGGATCTGGAGCCAGCAGAAGTGAGAAGGTGTCCTAGGTATCCAAGGGACCAACCCTGGTCCCCTCAAGGCGCCAGGAGACTTACTTCCCAGCTTCATTGCTGGAGGTGCTGAGGCTTAGCTCCTGGCCCCTCCTCAGTCAGACCCAGGAGTCCAGGCCCCTAGTCCCCTTCTCACTTAGGCCCAGGCGTCCGGGACCCCCAGTTCCTTCCTCCTCCAATCCTCTCCTCTGTTAGGACCTAGGAATACAGGCCCCCATCCCCTCCTCCCTCTGGGACTACAAAGTCCAGGCCCCCAGCTCTCTCTAGTCTCCAGTTCTATATTCTCCTCAAACCCAGTAGTCTGGGCCCCAAAGCCCCATTCATTCCCTTGGAGCAAGGAAATTGGCAGGTTGGCTGTGCCCTCTTTAGAGAACCGTGCCTCACCTGTGTGTTCATCTCTGGGCCCTAGAGTGGGAGGGGGCAAGAGCAGGGTTCTGGGCAGAACATCCCTGAGAATAAAGAGGTGGGAGCCACAGTGTCAGTGGGGTGTCTTAGGGAAGGGTCCCCCTTAGTGCCTCAGATGGGTGACCTGTACCTGCTGGCTGATAGAAAGGCCAGGAGATGGGGCAGGTCTGGCATGCAGAGGTTGGAGGATTCCAGGGACACACCTGTGGTGGGGGGAGGAAGAAGGAGAAAGTAAACTTGAGTGGTGGCAGTTTTCTGTCCCCTGGGATGCTCTTGCTCCTCCATTCCTTCAGAATCCCCCCAGGGACCTTCAGAACAGGGAAGTTCCCACTCTTTGGAGTCTCCATCTTTACTCTTGTGTACCACTTATGCCACCAACAAGGATTCATTCATTAGACAAACATTTACTGAGCCCTTAGTCCTTTCTAGGCACTGGAGATACAGTTATCAAAAGGCAGACAAGTTCACTGCCTTCCTGTAGCTTACCTTTTAGCGGGGGGCGGAGGGGGAAAAGGCAGAATATAAATGAATAAACAGTCAGGGTACGGTGGCTCACGCCTGTAATTCTAGCACTTTGGGAAGCCGAGGTGGGTGAATCACCTGAAGTCAGGAGTTCGAGACCAGCCTGGCCAACATGGCGAAACCCCATCTCTATTAAAAATACAAAAATTAGCTGGGCATGGTGGTGGGCGCCTGTAATCCCAGATACTTGGGAGCCTGAGGCAGGAGAATCACTTGAACTCGGGAAGTGGAGGTTGAAGTGACCTGAGATTAAGCCATTGCACTCCAGCCTGGGCGACAAAAGTGAGACTATCTCAATAAATAAATAAATAAATAAATAAAAATAAATTTTAAAAACGAGTAAACAAAGTGGATATTGTATTGAGTGCTATGAAGAAAATGGAGTGATTGAAAGTGACCAAGAGGCCAGGCATGGTGACTTACGCCTGTAATCCCATCACTTTGGGAGGCTGAGGTGGGTGGATCACTTGAGGTCAGGAGTTCAAGCCAGCCTGGCCAACATGGCAAAACCCATCTCTATTAAAAATACAAAAAATTGGGAGGTGGGGGCCTAGGGGAGGGATAGCATTAGGAAGAAATACCTAATGTAGATCATGGGTTGATGGGTGCAGCAAACCACCATGACACCTGTATACCTATGTAACAAACCTGCACATTCTGGACATGTATCCCAAAACTTAAAGTACGATAAAAAATAAATAAATAAAAATAAAAATAAACCAAAAAATTAGTCATGTGTGGTGGTGTGCACCTGTAATCCCAGCTACTTGGGAGGCTGAGAGGCATGAGAATTGCTTGAACCTGGGAGGTAGAGGTGGCAGTGAGTTGAGATTGGGCCACTGCACTCCGCCTGAGCGACAGAGTGAGACTCTGTCTAAAAGAAAAAAGAAAAAGAAAGTGACCAAGGTGCCATCTTTTAACTATGATGGTCAAGAAAGGTTACATTTCTGCAGAGGCCTGGAGGATGGAGACTAAACCAGCCCCTCTAGGAAAAGCATTCATACAGGATGAACCCAAGCAGAGGTCCTGAAGCTGGAACACACTTAGCATGCTAAAGACACACAGAGTGTAACAGTGTGTATGGGGCAGAGTGAATGAGGGGCAATAGATAGAGAGACAGGAAGGAACTACATCACACAGCACCTTATAGATCATGACAAGGAGTTTACATTTTGTATCTAAGGACGTTGCATGCTCTTTGCAGGATTTGGGGCAGGGGTGTATAACATCTGATTGATACTGAAAAATATCTTGGGCTCAGAATGGATTGTGGGAAGGAAAGGGAGACAGGATTGGAAATATTCATCAGATATTTTGGAAACAAAGCTGACAGGTGTTTTTGTTTTGTTTTGTTTTGGCAGGGTTTCCCTCTGTTGCCAAGGCTGGAGGGCAGTGGTGTGATCTTGGCTCACTGCAACCTCTGCCTCCTGGGTTCAAGCTATTCTCGTGCCTCGGCCTGCCAAGTAGCTGGGATTACAGTCGCGCGTCACCAAGCCCGGCTAATTTTTGTATTTTTTGTAGAGACGGGGTTTTGCCATGTTGGCCAGGCTGGTCTCAAAATCCTGGCCTCAAGCGATCCACCCGCCTCGACCTACCAAAGTGCTGGGATTACAGGCGTGAGCCACCGCGCCGGTCCAGCTGATAGTTCTTAGTGATCAATTGACTGTGGGCTGGAACCTCAGGGGAGGTGCCTTACCTCTGGGAATCTTCTGGATCTGGTAGGTATTGACTTCTCCTGGTAAAGGTCCTGACCTCAACACCAGGGCCTGGCTGGGGTCACGTCCTGTGACCAAGAAACTCTGGGGGATAGAGACAAAGGCCAGCGTGACAAAGGTGTGCGCAGATGTCTGTTGCTTTTGCCTGACTAGCATCCATTTCCCTTATTTTGGGTTCCACACCCCAAATTTCCTTTAGGGAAACCCTCTCCCTACTTTCAGTCCATGTGTGTTGGGCTGACTTCCCCCAAGCCCTGGCGGGGTGGGCCCATGACCTGATCTAGCCAACAGGATGAGGGTGCTCTCGGCCCACTGTTTGGTTCAGGGAACAGGCATGTGACTCAAGCTCAGCCAATGGACATCTTCCACAGGATTTTTTTTTTTTTGAGACGGAGTCTTGCCCTGTCGCCCAGGCTGGAGTGCAGTGGCACAATCTCTGCCCACTGCAACCTCCGCCTCCCGGGGTCAAGCGATTCTCCTGCCTCAGCCTCCCAAGTAGCTGGGATTACGGGCGACTGCCACCACGCCCGGCTAAGTTTTTGTATTTTTAGCAGAGACAGAGTTTCACCACATTGGCCAGGCTAGTCTTGAACTCCTGACTTCAAGTGATCCGCTCTTCTCAGCCTCTCATAGTGCTGGGATAATAGGCGTGAGCCACTGCGTGCTGGAGCTCTTTTGGAAAGACTTCATTTGTTACACTGGTGTTGCTAAACTGGTGGGATACAGCTCTGAGCTGGGAAGGATGATACCCTCCTGAGGAGGAAGCTGTGGTAGCCCCCGTTTGCTGTCGTCTCCAAACCTATTCCACATTCCTTGCAGAATTCCTTGTTCACGGCATTAATATACCCAGCCATGAGTATGATTGATATATGGATCATGATTGATATAGGTGGTGGTTCTTAGCTCTGGCTGTATACGTCCCAAGAGAGCTGTTAAAAATATTGCTACAGCCGGGCACGGTGGCTCACGCCTGTAATCCCAGCACTTTGGGAGGCCGAGGCGGGTGGATCACCTGAGGGCAGGAGTTCGAGACCACCCTGGCCAACGTGGTGAATCCCAGTCTCTACTAAAAATACAAAAATTAGCCGGGTGTAATGGCGGGCGCCTGTAATCCCAGCTACTCGGGAGGCTGAGGCAGGAGAATCGCTTGAACCCGGGAGGCAGAGGTTGCAGTGAGCCAATATCGTGCCACTGCACTCCAGCTTGGGTGACAGAGGGAGACTCCATCTCAAAAAATAATAATAAAAATAATAAATAAAAAAATTAAAAATATTGCTACCTGGGCCCCATCCTTTTTTTTTTCTTTTTTCTTTTTTTTTTTTTTTTAATAGAGACTGGGCCTTGCTCTGTTGCCCAGGCTGGTCTTGAACTCCTAGGCTTAAGCGAGCCTCCTACCTCAGCCTCCCAAAATGCTGGGATTACAGGCGTGAGTCAGCACACCCGGCCAGCCATCTATATTTTCTGAATCAGTTGTGAAAACCTTTATTTTGGCCGGGGACGGTGGTTCACACCTGTAATCCCAGCACTTTGGGAGGCAGAGGTGGGTGGATCACCTGACGTCAGGAGTTTGAGACCAGCTTGGCCAACATGGTGAAATCCCATCTCTACTAAAAATACAAAAAATTAGCCGGGCGTTGTGGCAGATGCCTGTAATCCCAGCTACTCAGGAGGCTGAGGCAGGAGAATCGCTTGAACCTGGGAGGCGGAAGTTGCAGTGTGCCGAGATCATGCCATTGCACTCCAGCCTGGGCAACAAGAGTGAAACTCTCAAAATTAAAAAAAAAAAGAAAAGAAAACCTTTATTTTTCCTGTAAAATAAACAGATGCAAGTGGTGCCTCTGTTCTTCCTGCCTGGAATGCACGCAGGTGCTTGGGCCTGGGGCAGCCCCCGGGAAGCTGTGAGAGAAGTCCAAGAGAATTATAGCTATGCTGGCCTCAATGTCACTGCACTGCTGATCTAAAGCCAGCAGCTGCCTTTTTGGTTATGTTAGGAAGATAAATGCCTATTTGTTTAAACCGCTGTAGGACAGGTGTTTGTTATATTCAGTCCCAAATATCCAAAATTCCCCGCAGTTGAAAGCAAAGCCAAGAAATGGGATGAAGAGGAATTTATAAGTGTTCTGAAGTTCAGGATCCAGAGCTTCTTGAAATTACATTTTTTTTTTTTTTTTTTTAGACAGGGTCTTGCTCCATCACCCAGGCTCAAGTGAAGTGGCATGATCTCAGCTCACTGCCGCCTTGACCTCCTGAGCTCAAATGATCCTCCCACCTCAGCCTCATGAGTAGCTAGGACTGCAGGCATGAGCCATTGCACCCAGCAATAAATAGCCTTTTTGGTTTGCCCAATTTGTGTCATGTTTGTCACTAGTAACCAGCAGAGTCCTAATCTAGGGTGTCAGGATGGGCCCCCAGCTGTGAGTACTCACCCCTAGTGGCCACAGCCCCACAAGGGCCTCCGCATCCTGGGTATCCAGCTCTGGCACATGCCACACCCCCCATGTCCTCTGCAGGCGAGTAAGTGGCTCTAGGGTGCTGAGGACCCCTAGAGGGGTCCTGTCTGCTTTGTTCACCTGTGGTGGGACCAGCCTGGGATGGACAGTGTCCAGGGAGTCAGGGGTCAGAGGTGGGCAGTGGGACAATGAGGTGAGGTCAAAGGTACAGGAAGGGGCAGGCCCAGGGCAGAGGCTCAGAGATGTGATTCAGGATTCTGTAGTGAGGGAGGTATTGGATGGAAAGGGTTTCTGGATGCAGGGGAAGGAGGGCATAGCCTCAGCCCTAGTAGCCTCACCTCACCCCCTCTGTGGGGACTTCAGGTGCCTTGTCTTCTGGCTGGGCCATCGTCAGGTTGCAGGAAGCCAGTGAGTCATGACCTGGCCTCTGGCAGGGAGAAAGGTAAGACTCAAAGCTGCTCTAGCCCTCGGGTCATGTTCAAGATATTTACAATCAATATGGCAGAGACCCTGACCAATCAGAATGGACCCCAGAGGCCGCTTGCCGTGGCAGGGGTTAATTCTTTATTTTATTTTTGAGACGGAGTCTCACTGTATTGCCCAGACTGCAGTGCAGTGGCACGATCTCAGCTCACTGCAACCTCCGCCTCGTAGGTTCAAGCGATTCTTGTGCCTCAGTCTCCCGAGTAGTTGGGATTACAGGCGTGCACCACCACGCCTGGGTAATTTTTGTATTTTTTAGTAGAGACAAGGTTTTGACGTGTTACCCAGGCTGGTCTCAAACTCCTGACCTCAAGTGATCCCCCCGCCTCGGCCTCCCAAAGTGCTGAGATTACAGGCATGAGCCACCACACCCGGCCGGCAGGGGTTAAATCTTTAGTACCGGATGGTGGGGAATCTGGGGATCCCAGGAGAGAGGCCAGTGTGTCTTGCGGTGTGGGGAGAGGACTCAAAACAATAGCTCTTTACTGAAGTGGTAGGAAATATGTTAAGATTTTTAACAGCCATGGGGGCTGTGTAAATGTGGGCCAGCCCTTGGCAAAACCCAGTCAGCGCCTGGAAAAGTTCTTGGCCCAGAGTAGGCAGTCCCTATATCTGGAAAGGTAATAACATCCCCTCTTCCTCCCTTCCCACACCATGGAGGGGCCACTGAATCTCTTCCCCCAGCATTTTATTATGAAAAATTTCAGACATAGAGAAAAGCTGAAAGAATTGTACAGGAAACATCCCTATGCCCACTACCAAGATTCTACCATGAACATTTTACTCATCTTGCTTTATCACACATCTGTTCCTCTCTCTCTTCATCCACCCATCAGGCCCCAGCTCCTAACCAGGTACAGAGTCCTACGTAGGTTATCACTTAGGGTGGCACTTATCCCAGCAGCAGTCCCAGGAGCAGGAGACCTGGATCGGGGGAGGATCCATCCTCCCTCCCTCCCTCCCTCCCTTCCTTCCTTCCTTCCATCCATCCAGTATTTACTGAATACAGGCTGGAATTAGGTGCCTCTGCCCTGGAGAGAGGGTGATGAACAGGACAGGCTCCTCCCCTCAGGGCCTTCCATTCTTGTTTGGGGCAGGTGTAGCATATGGATAATAGGCAGCTAAACAAATACATTAGGCCATTGACCAGAAGGCCAGGGTGTTATTAGGAAGGAGGGAGGTGGGCAGGGAGGCGCAGGTGCCCTGCCCAGGCAAGAGCAGGAAGGAAGGGAGGGGAGGGGAGGGGAGAGGGAAGCAGATGCCTGCTTGTGTACCGTGGCAGGAGAGGAGGCTGTGGGCAGTGCGTGGCAGGGGTGGGTCAGGGCAGCTGCCTCATACCAAAGGGAGGCAGCAGGGGCTGAAGATGCCAGATGCTCGGTTCCTGGGGGCCCTACCTGTTCTCGGAGGAGAGGCCTGCAGTAGCAGGAAGTGGAGAGAGGAAGCTGAGCAGGCAGGGGGAAGAGGCGGGGCTGGGGTATCTGAAGTCAACTTTCCTCCCTCTTTCTGGGGCCTCAGGCCTTTAGTGACGGGGCTTAGAGGAAGGGACACTGGCAGGCTGGGAGTCCAGGGGTCAGAGCCACGAGGGCCCCCGTGAGGACCCTCTTGTTACCCCTCACTCTGGATCCCGGAGACTTTCTGGTTCCTTAGTGGCCCAAGATCTAACCCCCTCCCTTCAGAGATTTCCCTGGGTGCCCACAGAAAGAAACAGGAGGCCAGACCGGATTGTTAGTTGTTTTTGTTTTTAATTTGTCTCCAATAAGCAATGTCTTCTGCCCATCCAGCATGGGAAGTGGGTCCCACGTGAAGGGGGCCCACCACCCACTTTGGGAGCTGAAGGCAGAGACTCGGGAGCCCTCCCGGCTCAGACTCCCCCTACGCTGGGTGTGGGTTATATTCAGAGGCCCACACCCACACTGGGGTAGGTTAGGTATGGTTTACTTAGCCACAGGCCCCCGGGGGCAGGAGACAGAGTGGGGGCCCGAAGCTCCCTGTCCTGGAAGAGTTAAAAGTTCTGGGGTAGCCCTGGCCCCGTGGGGGCAGTTAGAGATGAGGGAGGTTACTCCTTAGCCCAGGAGTGGTTAGAGACAGTGGGGCTGGTAGAGATGCCTGTTTAAGCCTTGGCCTCTAGGAGGTGTTAGAGATTTGCTGGGGTTGGGGGCCAGGGTTGCTGGGACCCCAGTTTTGGGGAGGGAGCTGTAAGAGATTGGGGGATGTTCTGAGCTCCCCAGACAAGAACTGCTGGTTAAGAGGGGGCCAGGCCCGGTTGGGGCTCAGCTGTCCCTGAGGAGCTCGGCATCCCGCCTGGGAGATGCAGCTGTCACTGGGGTTTCTCCCTCTCTGTTGTCCTGGCCTCGTCCTTGGCAGGTGGCGGGGACTTCTTGGGGGAAGCTGAAGTGCTGGGGTTGGGGACCCCCGCCCCCGACTGGGCATCTATGCTGGCGTGCTCCCTCCGGACAAGGTCCTCCAGCTCCTTCTGCAGGAGCAAAGGTCACAGAAGTCAAAGGTCACTGTGCATCATGGGGTCAGAGGACCCATGGGGTGGGGAGAGGGTCCAGGGATGGGGCTCAGGACAGGCTGGGGTTGCTCAGCTCCTCACCTTCCATCCAAGGAGCTCAGCAAGGGCCAGGCAGCCCTGGTCGCATTCACCCAGCCAGGCCACGTCCCTGCGGTGCAGCAGGAGATCAGAGTTCCCAGGCGGGCTCGCCCCTGCCTGCTCCTCTCATCTGCCTTCGTGCCCCCGCTCCCACCTCACCCTGTCCCTTCCAGGCTGCCCCAACCCCCGGCGGGGCCTCACCTGTAGGCCTTCTTGGAGTCAAAGTCCATGCCTCCTCCGAGGCCCATAATCATCCCCAGGAAAGGGTCCGACTGTCAGGGAGGGGGTGGGTCAGGGGCAGGAGCAGGGAAGGGAGAGCTAAGAGCACAGACCCTGGAGCCAGGTGGCCTGGGTTTGTATCCTAGCTCTGTGACTTTGTTTTTTTTTTGTTGTTGTTTTTTTGGTTTTTTTTGAGACAAAGTTTCACTCTTGTTGCCCAGGCTGGAGTGCAATGATGTGATCTCGGCTCACTGCAACCTCCACCTCCTGGGTTCAAGTGATTCTCCCGCCTCAACCTCCCGAGTAGCCTGGATGACAGGTGCCCAGCACCATGCCCGGCTAATTTTGTATTATTAGTAGAGACGGGGTTTCACCATGTTGGTCAGGCTGGTCTCGAACTCCTGACCTCAGGTGATCCACCCGCCTCGGCCTCCCAAAGTGCTGGAATTACAGGCGTGAGCCATTGCGCCCAGCCAGCTCAGTGACTTTGGTCAAGTGACTTGTCCTCTCTGTGTCTTAGTTTCCTGTAGAATAGGGGTGATCACAAAACCGCGATGGGGTTGTGGCGCCAGTGAGTTCACGCAGGCTAAGACTTGGGACAGTGTCTGCCCACAGCGTGCGCTGCTTGCCCGGTGACCCTGCCTACTTCCCCTGAGGGGAACACCTAGGAGGGAGCACCTGCCCTAGAGTGAGGCTGCCCAGGAAAAACAGACCTGAGAGACCCAGAGCGTGGACCCAACCCCGCCCCCCGCACTGTCTCTCCTGACCCCTGCACCCCCTCCCACCTCCTCAGTCCCTGGAAGCCCGGCCTTCCTATCTGGCTTCAGCTGGTTTGAGTTGGAATTCTATCACTTGCTCAAAAGGGCAGTGAATGTCCCAGAGGCCTGGAACCCGACCCCTCTGGATTCTAGAGCCCCAGGTTCTGAGCTGAGGAATGCAAAGTGCTGGGGTTCCACAGTGGGGGTTCCCTCTGAGGAAAAGGGTGAGAGGGAAGGGGGAGCCTGTGACGACGGGGGCTTGAAGAAGGGCTCTTACCTGGCCAGCTTTCTCCTTGTTGATGAGCAGGCGAGGGGTGGAGAGGGGTGCCCTGTGGGGAGGGGGAGCTAAGGGGTCAGGGTCTGTCCTGGCCCTGGGTGCCCAGCCGTCCTCCCAGCCACAGCCCCCAACCTACTTGCTGATGAGGGAGGCAAAGGGCTGCACCTGCAAGGAGGTACCCATGACCAGGAGGAGGTCCACCTTCAGGAAGTCCTGCGGGGAGGGGCGTGAGCTTGGGAGCCTCCGCCCAGGCTGCGCCACCGCTCCCTCCCCCGCCCCCAGCAGCAAACCTCCCTGCCGCCCCCCATAGCTGGGGAGGTGACCTTTCCTGAGGCAGGGCCCAGGCTGCCCCCATGGGGCCCAGCACAGGTGGAGGCGGCGGTTGGGGATGCGGGGAGGCTGGGGGGCCACTTACTGACTGCATACAGGAGAAGAAACGCGCTGGGAGGCTCTCACCAAAAAAGACGATATCTGAGGTGGAGACAGATGGACGGACAGAGACAGTGACATGGGGAGGCAGAGAGGACAGGTGGGAGCAATGGCAGACCCGGAGGCCACAGTGGGAGTTGGGAGCAGTGGGGACCGGCCAGGGGCACAGACCCCATTCTCCCCAGGATGGATCTGGGGCACTGTTCAGAGAGACAGAGGTGGCCAGATGTGTGCGGGTGTGGCCTTTGGGAGGGGGTCAGGGGGAGGAGGGGACCCCCACCCAAATCCACCTGGGCAGGTCCCTGGCCAGAGGCTCACCAGGCTTCACCAGGCTCTGACAGTCTTCACACTTGGGCGTCACCTCAGAGAAGATCTTCTCTGGGTATGGGGAAGGGGAAGAAAGAGAAGGCAGTAAGAGGATCTGGGCCGGAGTCTGGAGGTGCAGCACCCCCACCCCTCTTCCACTGTTAACATGAACACACCTCCATCACTTGGAGTGTGATGGGTGTCTCCTGAGGTGTCCACTCTGCTCAGAAAAGACCTCTCTTCTTGTTGTTGCATTTTTTTTGTTTTTTTCTTTCTTTTTTTTTTTGAGATAAGGTCTCACTCTGTTGCCCGGGCTGGAATGCAGTGGCACGATCATGGCTTACTGTAGCCTCAACCTCCCAGCTTCAAGTGATCCTCCTGCCTCAGCCTCCTGAGTAGCTGGGATTACAGGTGCATGCCAGCACGCCCGGCTAAATTTTGTATTTTTTGTAGAGACAGGGTTTCGCCATGTTGCCCAGGCTGGTCTCAAACTCCTGGGCTCAAGCAAATCTGCCCACTTTGGCTTCTCAAAGAGCTGCAATTACAGGTGTGAGCCACTGCGCCCGGCCTTATTGGTTTGTTTGTTTTTTTGAGACAGGTTCTCACTCTGTTGCCCAGGCTGGAGTGTGGTGGTGCAATCATGGTTGAGTGCAGTGGTGTGATCATAGCTTACTGCACCACCGACTTCCCAGGCTCAAGTGATCCTCCTGCCTTAGCCTCCCGAGTAGCTGGGCTCACAGGCATCCACCATCGCACCTGGCTACATTTTATTTTTTTTAGAGATGGGATCTCCCTATGTTGCCCAGGCTGTTCTCAAACTCCTGGGCTCAAGTGATCCACCCACCTCGACGTCCAAAAGTGTTGGGATTACAGGCATGAGCCACTGTGCCTGGCCTTATTTCTTATTGATTTAGGAAGCTTGAAAGCATTTCTGGCCGGGTGTGGTGGCTCACGCCTGTAATCCCAGCACTTTGGGAGGCTGAGGCGAGTGGATCGTTTGAGGTCAGGAGTTTGAGACCAGCCTGGCCAACGTGGTGAAACCCCGTCTCTACTAAAAATATAAAAATTAGCCAGGGGTTGTAGCACGTGCCTGTAATCCCAGCTACTTGGGAGGCCGAGGCAGGGAGAATTGCTTGAACCCGGGAGGCGGAGGTTGCAGTGAGCCGAGATTGCACCACTGCACTCCAGCCTGGGTGACAGAGCAAGACTCCATCTCAAAAAAAAAAAAAAGAAAGAAAGAAAGCATTTCTGTCACTTGCAACCCACTGAATTCTAAGTCATTTGCTCAACTGTCCATTCATTCATTCAGCACACATTTATAAAGCATTGTTTCAATGTCAGTAGTCGGTAATTTTCTTTAAAATATTTCTGCATGGACAGCATGACACCGTGGGTGCTGCCTGTGACGCTGCTGTCAATGACACATAATGGGGGTAATGTGAATTGTACACTGCCCCCAGCTGCTTGCAGTTGGGCTATTCAGGAATCCTCAGCCCAGGGGCACTCAGCTGGCATTTTATCAGAACAGCCACACTCCAGAGGCCCTTCTGCAAATGCTGCAGCTGTCCTTATCTCACAGGGACACCAGAGGCTTTGTTAAATCAGCATAAAGAATGTCAGAAATGGCTTTCCATGAGTGGAATAAGTGACTTCTTGTTTTTTTTTTTTTTTTTTTTTTGAGACAGAGTTTTGCTCTTGTTGCCCAAGCTGGAGTGCAATGGTGCGAACTCAGCTCACTGCAGCCTCCGCCTCCCAGGTTCAAGCGATTCTCCTGCCTCAGCCTCCTGAGTAGCTGGGATTACAGGCGCATGCCACCACACCAGGCTAATTTTTTTTTTTTTGTATTTCTAGTAGAAACGGGGTTTCACCATGTTAGCCAGGCTGGTCTTGAACTCCTGACCTCAGGTGATCTGCCCGCCTTGGCCTCCCAAAGTGCTAGGATTACAGGTGTGAGCCACTGCTCCTGGCCTACTATCATATATTAAAAACAGCCAAAGACAGGAAATCAGGCAGTTGGGCTGCAGTGAGCCATGATCACCCACTGAACTCCCCGCGTGGGCGACAGAGTGAGACTCTGTCTCAAAAACAAACAAACAAAACAAAAAAACCCCAAAGAATTGAGCAGGACAGAATGGGTGCCCACTGCATGGAGACACTGCTCCTGGTGCTGAGAGGAGGCCTGCCCTCAGGATGCCCTCCAGCCTCACCTTTCATCCAGCTTAGCGGGTATTCGTGCCGGCAGCTGGCGCTGACGCAGTGTGATGTGTAGAAGGTGCCGTGCGCCTCCACCAAGTCCTCCTGTTCCAGCCCGGCTATTCGCTCCAGGGTATCTATGTTCTAGAGGGAGAGATGGAGGGAAGAGGGGTGAGGAGTGAGCCACCCCTTGTAGGCCAGAAGGCACAGTAGGGAGTTGAGGGCCACGAGGAGCAGTGAGGTGGTGGGGACAGGTGGAGAAGGGAGGGAGGAGAAGCAAGTGGCAGGGTTTATCTGAAGACTCTTCTGTTCATCCCAATGGTGCCACTTAAAGGGTGACAGTCAAGGCTGCTTAAAGGCAGGGGCCAGGCTGGGCATGGCGGCTCACGCCTATAATCCCAGCACTTTGGGAGGCTGAGGTGGGAGGATCACTTGAGGCCAGGAGTTCAAGACCTGCCTGAGCAACATATCAAGACGCTTGTCTCTACAAAAAATTAAAAAAAAAAAAAAAAAAAAAGGGGCCCAAACCTAAATATCTATGAGGCCAGGCCCACAGCCACTCCACAGCCTGTGTGGCTTTTATTCTGCAAATTCAGGCCATTTGCTTTCATTTTTCAGAAAAAAAATGTTGTTTTATTAGAGCCAGATGCTTTATTTCCACCTGTCATTAATTGCTGAAATTAACATACATTTACAATGTCTCTGTTATTAATGGAGCCCCCTCAGATGTGGCATCCTTGTGCAGTGCGCACCCTGCACAGCTGCATGTGGCAGCTCTAGGCAAGCATTAACATAAATGAATCAGGAGGGCTTACTAGGTGTGGTTTGTTTGTTTGTTTGTTTGTTTGTTTTTTGAGATGGAGTCTTGCTCTGTCACCCAGGCTGGAGTGCAGTGGCACAATCTCGGCTCACTGCAACCTCTGACTCCCAGGTTCAAGAGATTTTCCTGCCTCAGTCTCCCAAGTAGCTGGGATTACAGGCACGCACCACCATGACTGGCTAATTTTTGTATTTTTAGTAGAGATGGGGTTTCACCATGTTGGCTAGGCTGGTCTCGAACTCTGGACCTCGTGATTTGCTTGCCTCGGCCTCCCAAAGTGCTGGGATTATAGACATGAGCCACTGTGCCTAGCCATGTTTTTTTATGTATTTGAGACAAGGTCTCACTCTGTCGCCCAGGCTATAGTGCAGTGGTACAATCATAGCTCACTGCAGCCTCCAACTCCTGGGCTCAAGCAATCCTCCCACCTCAGCCTCCACATCTGGCTGATTTTTAAAATTTTCTGTAGAGATGGGGTCTCACTATGTTGCCCAGGCTGGTCAGCGAGCCTTCTGCCTCAGCCTCCCAATGTGCTGGGATTACAGTGTGAGTCATCATGCCTGGCCCTTCCTTGGCTTTAATCACTATCTTCCCCTTTAGTAGCCAGGGTCCTTTCTTACTATGGCCTGTTTCATAGATGGCATATTCACCTGTGTTCTTTTCTTTTTTTGGAGGCAGGGTCTTGCTCTGTCACTCAGGCTGGAGTGTAGTGGTCTGATCACAGCTCACTGTAGCCTTCACCTCCTGGGCTCAAGCCATCCTCCCACCTCAGCCCACTGAGTAGCTGGGACTACAGGCAAATGCCACCATGCCCGGCTAATTTTTTATCTTTTTAATTATTTTTGTAGAGATGGGGGGTGGGGTGGTCTCCCTATTTGCCCGGGCTGGTCTTGAACTCCTGGGCTCAAGTGATCCTCCCACTTCAGCCTCCCAAAGCGTTGGGATTACAGGCGTGAGACACCATGCCCAGCCACTGTTTTCTTTTCTTTTCTTTTCTTTTTTTTTTTTTTCAGATGGAGTTTCACTCTTGTTGCCCAGGCTGGAGTACAATGGCGCTATCTCGGCTCACTGCAACCACTGCCTCCTGAGTTCAAGCAATTCTCCCTGCCTCCGCCTCTCAAGTAGCTGAGATTACAGGCACCCGCCACCATGCGTGGCTATTTTTTTTTTTTTTTTTGAGACGGAGTCTTGCTCTGTTGCCAGGCTGGAGTGCAGTGGCGCAATCTTGGCTCACTGCAAGCTCCGCCTCCCAGGTTCAAGTGATTCTCCTGCCTCAGCCTTCCAGGTAGCTGGGAACACAGGCACGCGCCACCATGCCTAGCTAATTTTTGTATTTTTAGTAGAGACGGGGTTTCACCATGTTGGTCAGGATGGTCTCGATCTCCTGACCTCGTGATCTGCCCACCTCAGCCTCCCAAAGTGCTGGGATTACAGGTGTGAGCCACTGCGCCCGGCCACTGTTTTCTTTTAAGACAGTGAGACTTTCCATATTAAACAGGTGGGAATGTTCTTTTCTGCACAGACATTTGTGCGCGCTCATTTTTCTTAAAACAACCACCCCCTTTGGAGCAGCTGTTGTTTGCCTGTGAGGAATGCCGCTAAAACAGGTGCTGACAGAGGACACTGGCAGAGGTTACGCAGAGATGGCTCGCATGTGTGGCCCAGGGCCAAACTGACAGCGTTTCCCAGGGACTCCAGAAACAACGGGAAGGGTTTGTTTCCCTTCAAGGGCAGAAAGAATGCTCTAACTGCCTTCTGGGCTCCCTACCAGCAACCACCTTATCTCCAAAGCCTACAGACAAGAGTCACTGTCACTGTTCCCACACGCCCTGTAACTTTCCTCCCTTGCCCACTATTCTAAATCTTGGTTTTGCCTTTGGTACTTGACTCAGTCTACCCACTGACTCCCTCACATGTGAGTGAGCAATTTGCAAATAACTGAACAGTAAGCAAATAACTGAACAGCGTGGAAAAGAACCACCGAAATACCTCTGCGTTCTGTTATTCTTTGACAACATGGTTTTTTTTTTTTTTTCTTTTGACAGGATTTTGCTCTACTGGTCCAGGCTGGAGTACAGTAGCTTGATCATAGCTCACTGTAGCCTTGAAATCCTGGGCTCAAGCAATCCTCCTCTCTCAAGCTCCCAAGTAGCTGGGACTACAGGTGTGCACTACCATGCCTGGCTAATTTTTTTTTTTTTTTTTTTGAGATGGAGTCTTGCTCTGTTGCCCAGGTTGGAGTGCAATGGCGGAATCTTGGCTCACTGCAACCTCTGCCTCCCAGGTTTAAGTGATTCTCCTGCCTCAGCATCCTGAGTAGCTGGGATTACAGGCACGCACCACCACACCCAGCTAATTTTTGTATTTTTAGTAGAGACAGGGTTTCACCATGTTGGCCAGGCTGGTCTTAAACTCCTGACGTTGACTTTGGCCTCCCAAAGTGCTGGGATTACAGACGTGAGCCACCGCGCCTGGCCTTTATATAATAGTTTGTATGTGATGTGTCATTTTTTTTCTTTTTTTGAGACGGAGTCTCTCTCTGTCACCCAGGCTGGAGTGCAGTGGGGCAATCTCAGCTCAGGGCAACCTCCACCTCCCAGGTTCAAGCAACTCTCATGCCTCAGCCTCCTGAGTAACTAGGACTACAGGCATGTGCCACCACGCCTGGCTAATTTTTGTATTTTTCGTAGAGATGGGGTTTACAACAGCACCCCCTTTCCCGAACACATACACCGTTTCTGACTCCCCTTCCAGCTTAACTGTGTTCCAGGGACCCATGACCATCTTATATGCTCAGTATATGGTGTCTCCATCTTGTCCATCATCTCCCTCCCTGCTGTAGGGAATCAACTCAGTGAACATTTACTTTGACAGAAGCTGACAAACAAGGGCCAGCGGGGTCTTGGGGTGAGTGTCATGACATCAACCACAAAAAGCACTTGGCTTCAAGCAAGCTGTTATCATATCTGAGCCACGTCCTGGAATAATGGTGACTCTCTGGGCAGAAGGTTTATTCTGAGCCCGGAGTCTCCCTATGTTGCCCAGGCTGGTCTTGAACTCATGGGCTCAAGCGATCTCCCACTTTGGCCTCCCAAAGTGTGGGGATCACAGGACTCCTCCTCTTGGAAGAAGGAGGCCTCCGCTGCCCTCTGCCTCCTACCAGCCCCAGGTGGGAACACCTCGCCCACCTGAGAAATCTGAACTTAAAGCCAGTTGTTCCTCCCCCTGGCGGTAGCTTTTGGGGCTGCAGGTGCCAAACTGCAGGTACAGGGAGAAAACACTAGAACACTTATTTATTTTCAATGTTACCACTCTTTTTTGTTTGTTTGTTTGTTTTTTTAAATTGAGATGGAGTCTTGCTCTGTCACCCAGGCTGGAGTGCAGTGGCACAATCTTGACTCACTACAACCTCTGCCTCCCAGGTTCAAGCGATTCTCCTGCCTCAGCCTCCCGAGTAGCTGGGGTTACAGGCACCACCACACCTGGCTAATTTTTGTATTTTTAGTAGAGACCAGATTTCATGATGTTGGACAGGCTGGTCTTGAACTCCTGACCTCGTGATCTGCCCACCTCGGTGTCCCAAAGTGCTGGGATTACAGGCGTGAGCCACCGCGCCCGGCCACCTGTTTTATAATTCGGGGTTCTGAGGTGTGATCTAGAGCTTGAATTAATACTGTTGTAGTGCATCATGTCATTTCTATACATATTCATAAAACAGGTAGAGGCAGCAACATTTTGTTGTTGTTTTGATTTGTTTTTTGTTTCTTTGAAACCAGGTCTCCCAGGCTACAGTACAGTGGCACCATCATAGCTCACTGCAGTCTTGACTTCCTGAACTCAAGCAATCCCCCTACCTCAGCCTCCTGAGTAGCTGGGGCTACAGGCACACGCCACCCTGCCCAGCTAATTTTTGTATTTCTTGTAGAGACAGGGTCTCCCTATGTTGCCCAGGCGGGTCCCAAACGCCTGGGCTCGAGCTATCTCTCGCTTTGGCCTCCCAAAGTGCTGGGATTACAGGTGTGAGCCACTGTGCCCAGCCCATCAAGATTTTTTTACTGTTAGGGGTGTGAGACTCTCCAAACCAGAAGCCAACAATGTGAGCCATCCTTGCTTGAATGCCCCAGGGAGAGGCCCTTGGCTAAGCACCTGACGTGTACGAGACATGTTTATAATTGGGCAAAGCACAAAAAACTATAAAAAGGTGCCCCTTCCTTAAGGCACAACATCTACTTGTTGGACACGTGTCATAGTGTATGGATTTTGTTAGATGAAGTCACTTTGGAAACTCGCTCATAACCAATGTGAAATCTGGGGTGCCTATAGTGCACACAGAGTCCCTTCAGCCATAGGCTCCTTCCACATCACACATGGGATGGCCCTGAGAGGAGGTCACTGCCACCGCACTGCAGACCTGAGAGGGCAGACCTGAGAGGGCAAACCTTTTCTGGCCCCTGTTTGACGGAAGGGGAAACTGAGGCAGAGAAGACGTGACTCACGGCAGGTCATGCAGCAAGGAGGCAGTAGGCCAAGCCCTGGCCCCGCATTGCTGGAGTCCCCGCCTGAGCTCTTGGGCACGCAGCTCTGCTCCTCTGCTGAGGACACCATGCCCGTTCCACCCGCCCATCCTCCTCCCAGGATGCTCGCATCCGCCTACCTGCGTGTAGCAGCGCAGGAGTAGCCCCTTGTCCTTCAGCAGGCGCATGAAGTAGTGACAGATGGTTGGCTGCAGGGAAGAGCGACAGCACTGCTGACGACTGCAGGGAACAGCCACAGGCCACTGCCGCATGCCAGGAACTGTTCTAGGCACTGTGACTGTTTTACCCCCAGGGAACCGTCACAGCAGCCGCGTCGGGGAGAGACCACTGCTATCCCCAGATCACAGATGAGGAAACTGAAGGACAGGGAAGGGGATTGTGTTGCCAAAGTCACACGGTGGGTAAGCTGCAGAGCTGAGATTCACACCCAGGCAGCCCGGCTGCAGGGTCCCGGGCTCTCAACGGCATCATTAGTCAGCTAAGCCTCGCAGCAGCCCTCTTCAGACAGTACCATTAGCTTCACTTCACAGGAGGCAAATCGGAGGCTCAAGGTCGTAAGATGAAGACACGAGGAACCAGGACTTGAACCGAGGCAGTCTGGGCCCAGCACCCATGTACTTAATGGCTACATAATATTTGTCTGCAGGGCCTTGGCGGGGCTTCTCATGCGTGCCCTCCCCCAACCCTTCCTGTTTCGCCCCCTGCAAAACAAAGATCTCACCTTGAACTGCCCAGGATAGAGTTCCTTGGCGAGGGCGAAGAAGGGTTCCGGATGTTTCTGTAGGAGAGACAGCCAGAGGGCCAGATGCCCCAGGTAGCGTGAGGGTTGGAGCCAGGTGACCCCATCCCCACCCCTCACAGACGCCCCTTCCTGGGGGAGCACAAACCTTGAAATAGCTGATCTCAAAGATGGCCTCTGGGTAGGGAAGATGGTACTTCTCTAGGTTGTCATAGAGGCCGGTGGATGGAGAGCGAAAGTCGGGGATGCCTGCGGCTAGGAAAGGGGGGTCAGGGAGCAGTTGGTCTATACCATACTAACCCTCCCAGGACAGGGCTCAGATAGGGCTCCTCCCCAGCCCTTGGGAGGGACTCCCCAGTTCCTGGGGGTAGCTGCTGGGGGAGAAGGGTTACTTACATGTGGAGATTCCAGCTCCCACCAAACAGATGACTCTGCGACCTGGAGGAGAGGAACTTATGCACCATATGACACCGTTTGCTCAGTCCCTACGATAGCACCACCCATCACAGCCCCTGACATCGTTTACTCCATGCCAGGCCCTGGGGCAAGCATCTCAGATGCATGACGGGCCTTCCAATCATCTAGACGGGGATGGTGTTAACATCCCCATTTTATAAATGAGAAAACTGGGGCTCAGATAGGGGAAGAAGTCACACAATCAACTGCGGAAGAGCCAGCCAGCGGATAAAGAATCCAGTGTTGGGCTGGGTGCAGTGGCTCATGCCTGTAATCCCAGAACTTTGGGAGGCTGAGGCAGGCGGGTCATCTGAGGTCAAGAGTTTGAGCCCAGCCTGGCCAACATGGCAAAACCTCATCTCTACTGAAAATACAAAATTAGCCAGGCGTGGTGGCACGTGCCTGTAATCTCAGCTACTTGGGAGGCTGAGGCAGGAGAATCACTTGAACCCGGGAGGCGGAGGTTGCAGTGAGCCGAGATCATGCCATTGCACTCTAGCCTGGGTGACAGAGCGAGACTCCATCTCAAAAAAAGGAAAAAAAAAAAAAAAAGAGAATCCACTGTTGGAAATCACACCAACTTGGACTTGAGAAAAGGCCACTTTAGGATAAGAACCCTGGGCTGAGCAGAAATAGCTAGCTGGTGGCTGGTGAGTAGCCACCAGGCCATAGTACCCTGGCATCTGCCCATCAGCTGATAGACAGGCACAAGTGTGATATGCTGTGGATCAGATGCCTCTGGGATGCCCTGTCCAAGGGAGGACAGCAAAGGTGAACAGAGCACAAAGCCTGCCACAGCTTCAGCCCTGAGCTTCAGCTCTGAGATGCCATCAGGCCAGGCCTGGTTGAATCCAGTGGTGGCTACATGTGGTCTGGATTCAGGGGACCTGGGGTCAAATCCTGGCTCTGCCACTTGGCAACTGTTTGACCCTACACTGAGTCGTGACCTTTTTGTGCCTCCTTTTCCTCCTCTGTTCAGATCACTTCCATAATGATCTTACAGGTATAATGTGAATATCAAATAATAGGGCACTTGTAAAGTGCTGAGCCCAGTGCCTGGCAAATAGTGAAGCCTCAATTAAGTGGTTAAAAAGAAATTTTTAGGGCCGGGCCCGGTGGCTCACTCCTGTAATCCCAGCACTTTGGGAGGCCGAGGGGGGCAGATCACCTGAGGTCAGGAGTTCAAGACCAGCCTGGCTAACATGGTGAAACCCCGTCTCTACTAAAAGTACAAAAATTAGCCGGGCGTGGTGGCACGCGCCTGTAATCCCAGCTACTCGGGAGGCTGAAGCAGGAGAATCGCTTGAACCCGGGAGGCAGAGGTTGCAGTGAGCCATGATAGCGCCACTGCACTCCAGCCTGGGTAACAGAGTGAGACTCTGTCTCAAAATAATAATAATAATAAATTTTTAGAGCAGTGAGGTGAGGGTTGGAGCCTCACCTTTAAATTTTTGCAGAGAGGGGGTCTCGCTTATTGCCCAGGCTAGTCTTGACCTACTGGCCTCAAGCGATCCTCCTGCTTTCAGCCTCCCAAAATGGTGGGATTATAGGCCTGAACCACCACTCCCGGCCTCAACTAATTGTTATTTTTCATTACTATCTCCTCCTGGGCACCCTCATGAGCCAATTACCCCAGAATCCAGGTGCAGGAGGACACAAGGAACAAATGCTTTGTAGCCACTGCCTGTGTTGTCTTTGGGGCCTGCCCAGGCTAAAAGATGGCTGCAGACAGCTGCTCGCCTGCCGCAGGAGAGGGAGGCTCAGGGCAGCAGGCCTGGCTGCCTGAGGAGGGAGACAGTGGCAGCTGGAGGACAGGGACACAGGAGAAGATGTCCTCAACAAAAGGCTGCTCAGGAACCACAAAGGGTCGATTGTTCTAGTTGAGGACTGCCAAGGGCCTGGTTTCTCAGACTTTGGTGACCTCAACTTGTGGCAAGAAATATAAATTTCAGGCCGGGACGGGTGGTTCATGCCTCTAATCCTAGCACTTTGGGAGGCCGAGGAGGGTGGATTGCCTGAGCTCAGGTGTTCAAGACCAGCCTGGGCAACATGGTGAAACCCTGTCTCTACTAAAATACAAAAAATTAGCCAGTCGTGGTGGTGTGCGTCTGTAATCCCAGCCACTCGGGAGGCTGAGGCAGGAGAATTGCTGGAACCCGGGAGGTGGAGGTTGCAGTGAGCTGAGATTGTGCCACTGCACTCCAGCCTGGGCAACAGAGCAAGACTCCATCTCAAAAAAAAAAAAAGAAAAAGAAATATAAATTTCATGCTGACTCAGTAAGTGGACACCTATCCACCACATCTGAAATAAGCCTCCTGTAGTAATAACCACGGCACACCCTGCCACAGCTCTCGCTATGTTCCAGGCCCTGCTCTAAGCATTTGCATTTTTATTTATCTTTTAAATTTTATTACTTTATTTTTTTTTAGAGTCAGAGTCTCACTGTGTTGCCCAGGCTGCAGTGCAGTGGTGCCATCATAGCTCACTGCAGCCTCCAATTCCTGGGCTCAAACAATCCTCCCTTCTCAGCCTCCTGAGTAACTGAGACTACAGGCAACGCCCCCATATCTGACTATTTTTTTTTTTCTTGTAGAGATGGCGGGGGGGTCTCACTATGTTGCCCAGGCTGGTCTTGAACGCCTGGCGTTGAGTGATCCTCCCACGATGGCCTCCCAAAGTGCTGAGATTACATACATGAGCCACTGCCCCTGGTCCTATATTAATTTATTTAGCCCCGCCAATAACCTTATGAGTTAGATACTATAATCATTATCCTCATTTTATGAAACAGGCCTGGTCAATCAGAGTGCAGTAATTCACTCAGCAATGGAGAAGCGACCCAGGTCTGGCCAATCAGAGGCATGGGGGCAGGCATTTGACTCAACCGGGACCAATGGGAGCCAATCTCTGCTGTTTGGTTTGAACTACTGGGAAAAGGTGCTCTCTCGGTGGCAGCTCCTAGGCTAGTGGAACCTGCATTTGCAGCTGCCAGGAGTTACCTTTACCCCAAAACAAGAAAAGCAGCATCAGAGAGAGTTATGATTTTTAACAAAGTGGAAGCACCTGGACCCAGCCGTGCTTCAAGCTGGATTAGAGCCAACACACTCCTTTTTGGCTTAAGCCAGTTCCAGCTGGGTTTCTTGCTACTTATAAAGAAAAGGTTTCAATAAATGGTTCAAGTGGCTGGGGATGGGAGGTCACTTGGGGCCAGGAGCCAGGCAAAGTGGCCCAATCCTGACAGGGGACTCACAGCGTTCGCTCTGCATGTACCGGGCCACCCCTTCCAAGGTCAGCTCGTCCAGCAGACGCTCCTTCTGGCTGCCCAGGCTGAGCGTCTGGGAGAATAAGTTCCGCAGGAAGTCCACTGACCGGAAAGAAGAGAGACAGCGGCAGGACGGGCATTCAGCCAGGGGCATGGATGTCTCCGGCACCCTGGCCCCAGCCCTGGGGTTCCCGGCCTCCCCACATCTAAAGGCACAAGGCCCGGCCCAGCCAGCGGCCTCCAGGAGCCTGCTCTGGCACTGGTACCCAACCCACTGCTACATACTTTGGATGTCACTCCTGATGGAGTTGAGGAGGTATCACCCACACCCCTGCCCTGAAATCCCCCCGCCCCCCAGAACCCTGCTCCCTGTCCCTCCAGGAAGATACTCACTGTCTGCTTCTCCACCAGCGGCTCCTCCCTCAGAGTCTGAATCTGAGTCCTGGAAGGGGTGGGGTGGAGTGGCCAGGCCCGAGAGGTGGGATTAGGGAGGGAGGAGAGGGGGTGATACCAGGTTTGGGGAAAAGGCTGTGGCAGGAAGGTGGCCTGAGGAAGTGCGGGGTGGTGGAGAGACTGCACTGGGGCTAGCTCCAGGGCTCTGGGACAGGCTGCCGGGGTTGGAGTCCTGGCCATGCCCGTCCCCAGGAGCAAGACCTCATGTGAGTGGCTTTGCTTTGCTTTTCTTTTTTGAGACAGTGTCTCGCTCTGTTGCCCAGGCTGGAGTGCACTGGTGCAGTCACAGCTTGCTGCAGCCTCAACCTCCCAAGCTCAAGGGATCCTCCCACCTCAGCCTCCCAAGTAGCTGGGACCACAGGCACGTGCCACCATGCCAGGCTCATTTTTTGTTTGTTTGTTTGTTTGCTTTGTAGAGACGAGGTCTTCCTCTGTTGCCCAGGGTGGTCTTGAACTCCTGGGCTCAAGCAAGTCTCCTGCCTCGGCCTCCCAAAGTGCTGGGATTACAGGCGTGAGCCACTGTGCCTGGTCGTGACTTTGATTTTCTAAGTCTTGGTGTCCCTCACCTTGGAAAGGGAGCTTGGGTGCTGGGCGCAGCACCAGGGGCGGGGGAAGTGCTTGGTAAGCGCTGGCTGTTGCTGTTATTATCACAGCCTGGGGTCTTCCCTTCGTTCCCGGGTCCCCTGGAGCGTGGGCCTGCTGTCCCTTCCCAGCAGCCCTGGGGGCCTCTGAATAATGTCCCAAGTCACTCTGGGAATGATTCCAATGCAAAGCCTTGGCCCTCACTTCAAGGACCTATGTGCCCCCTGCTCGAGGCCTCAGACACTCTGCCCACCTCTCCAGCAACCTCTGTCTCCTTCCTCGAAGCCTCCCCTCAGCCCAGCTCCAGACTGGCAGGTCTCTGGGACTCTGTCCAGGGCCTCTCTGCTTTCTCTTTCCACTTTCCTGGGGTTACCTGTCTCATCCATGCCAATGACCTCTGCCTCGTCACTCATGATACCATCTCTCTGCCCTCAGATCCGGGGTTCCCTGGCTTCCTGGACACCTTGCCCTAGGTGCCCCCCAGCCTCTCACTCCTACTATGTCCCAAATGGACCCTGGCATCTCCTCCAAGCCCATCCTCCTCCCAGGCCTCATCTCAATGCGATCGTACTGTCCCCCCCATCAGCCAGATGTTTCCTGCCCCCGCCTCCCTCCTCGCCCTCCTGCCACAGCCCTTCAGCTCCAGAGCATGTACGCTGAGCCTCCTAAGGGTCTGTCCACCAACCCCCTTTCCCTCCCCGGCGCTCCACCTGGTCCAGCCTGTCCTCTCCTCCGGGGGTCCTGCCCCAGCCTCCTCCCCCAGCCTCCCAGCCTCAGTCTCCACCTCCCATCCACCCTGCTGCCCTGCATGTGAGGCTGTCTGGGTCAGCTCGCCCCTCTCCACTTCAAAGGCCCTTCTCTCTGGCTTCTGCAGTCTTCCCAGACATCTATGGAATTGCCAGGATGTCCACAAGGGCAGGGACTTTGTCTGGGTGCCCAGCACTGAGAACAGGGTCTGGCTCCTGGCAGGAGCTCCAGGAGCTCCTCTACCTTGGAATGAATGCCTGCTTCAGGCTGGACCACGGCTGGGCCCTGCAATGGATTTCACCAAAATGCAGTTCTGACCAAGCCACCACCTCAGACAACTCCCTTCCCCGGATACTCACTGCTCTGCGTCCAAGTCTTTTTGAATAAGACCCTCCCTTCCGAACATACGACAATTTAAAAAATTGCTTTTTAAGACTGTGCAACTCCGGCTGGGCGTGGTGGCTCATGCCTGTAATCCCACCACTTTGGGAGGCTGAGGCAGGAAGGTTGCTTGATGCCAGGAGTTCAAGACCAGCCTGGGCAACACAGTGAGACTCTGTCTCTATTTAAAAAGAGAGAGAAAGGCTGAGCACGGTGGCTCACGCCTGTAATCCCAACACTTTGGGAGGCTGAGGTGGGTGGATCACGAGGTCAGGAGATCGAGACCATCCTGGCCAACATGATGAAACCCCGTGTCTAATAAAAATACAAAAAATTAGCCAGGCATGGTGGCACGTGTCTGTAGTCCCAGCTATTCAGGAGGCTGAGGCAGGAGAATCGCTTGAACCTGGGAGGTGGAGGTTGCAGTCAGCGAGATCACCCCACTGCACTCCAGCCTGGGTGACAGAGCGAGACTCCGTCTCAAAAAAAAAGAGAGAGAGAAAGAGAGAGTGAGAATGAGAGAGAGAGAGAGACAGAGAGAAAGAGAGATTGGACAACCTCTGCAAAAACCTTGATTATACTCATGTATACTTCAACAACATATAACTTGCGGCACTCACCTTGTAATTGCCCAAGCCCACCCTTATAAAGATAACCACTGTTAGCTAAGCTTAATGGAAATTACTCCAGTTTTCTCTGCATAAAACTAATATTTTTTACAGAAATAGGTCATAGTACAATACAACATCTTGAGTTTTCGGCAGAACAATATGCTACAGACCCACCTAATTTAAAAAATAATTTTTTAAAAAAGAGACGGCATCTTGCTATGTTGCCCAGGCTGGTCTCAAAACTCCTGGGCTCAAGTGATCCCCCTGCCTCCCAAAGTGCTGGGATTACAGGTGTGAGCCACCGTGCCCGGCCTCACCTCGTTTTTCAGAGCAGCTACATAGTATTGGATTGTATGGATGAACCATAGTTCATTTAACCCATCCACTGACAGCCATTTGGACTGTTTCCAGTTTTGCCCTGTGACGGACAATGCTGCATTTTACATCCTCGCCTCTCTCTCTTTGGGACTGAGGATCCTTTTTAACATTCAACCTTTTTCTCTGACAGTGGTCGTGCTTTGGGAGCCAGGCGAGTGAGTTGCCACAGCCTAACAGGAGGCTCTTATATCCTTAGCAAAGCTCCACTGTGCATTTGTGAGGTATTCTGATGCCCGCTTCTGCACCACCCCACGTCTGAAAGGCAATCTCAGGGGTGTGGGTGGGCTGGCACTCTTTCAGGCTGTACACAGTGAGGCTGTGTGGAAGGCCTGTGCCCAGCATGTGTCTGCAGCTTGGCCTAAGGGAGAGCCGGAGGTGCTGACGGGGGCCTTCAAGCTCCTATGAGACTGCCTGTCCACCTCTCCTGGCAGCCTCTGACAGGTGGCGTGCCCAGTGCTGGGGGACTCAAACCCTTCCCTGCTCCTGTAGCCGAGGGACGGGGGATAAGTGACTTAACAACTCTGCCTCAGATTCTGCATCTGTAAAATGGCCGTGATAGGCGTTTCTCTTCACAGGGATGCCAGGAAGATGAAATTGAGATGAGGCACGTTTGGCACTAAACAGTGGGCCCAGCTTTAGTAAGCCGTCAGTAAATGCTAACCACGACTATAACAAGCTGACCACCACCAGCCACCCAATTATGGAACACATCACACCCCTTCATGCCCCCCAGGTCTTTGCACAAGCGATACCTGTTGTGTGGATCACCATTTCTCACCTTGTCTAAGAAAATTCTAAGTCACTCTTCACTTATGCTGTGTCTGTATCTTGGTCTGACAGCTAGACCAGCCTGTGGATTCCTCCAGGGAATGGCCTGGCTAGAATCTTCTTTGACCCAGAAAATTTTCTCTGTGCTCCCACAGTACCCTGAGTTTCTTTACTTTTCTTCCTTTTTTTTTTTTTGAGACCGTGTTTTGCTCTGTCGCCCCGGTTGGGGTGCAGTGGCACAGTCAAGGCACACTACGGCCTTAACCTCCTGGGCTTAAGCAATCCTCCCCCAACTCAGCCTCCTGAGTAGCTGGCAATGCAGGCATGCACCACTACACATGGCTAATTTTTAAATATTTTGTAGAGGTGGGGGCCTCCCTATGTTGCCAAGACTGGTCTGGAACTCCTGGGCTCAAGCGATCCTCCTACCTCAGCCTCCCAAAGTACTGGGATTACAAGCATGAGCCACTGTGTCTGGCCCTGAGTTACTTTCTTTCTTTTTTACTTTTTAGAGAAAGGGTCTTGCTCTTTCACCCCGGCTGGAGTGCAGTGATGCAATCATAGCTCACTGCAGCCTCAAACTCCTGGGCTCAAGCGATCCTCGCGCCTCAGTCTCCTGAGTTATTGGAATTACAGGCATAAGCCACTGCATCTGGCCCCCTGAGTTACTTTCGTCATCACGCTGTGAGATCATTTTTTCCCATCACTTGTCCACGAGATCTGTGCGTTCCAAGACCAAATGGGATACCTGTCTCTTCCAGTCCCAGGACAAATGTGGTTCAGAAGGGATGGCAGGCAGTGGCAAGGAAGAAGGAAAGTTTGGGAGGACAGGCCTGGACTTGAGGCTGGAAACTCTTCTCTGACAATCCCCAGAATCTGCCTTTCCCCAGAAAGCTGCACTGGGTGGTGTGAGGGATTGGGGCAATGAGCCGAGGGCCCTGGGGTGACTGTTTCCCCTTTGCCACCTCCCCCCAGTGTGGGATGTGGAACAAGTCCGTCTCTCTCCTCCCCTCCACCCTTTCCCCCATCTCACCTGAGCCTCCTGCACCTTCCCTGCCTGGGTCTCCAGAGGGTGAGAGGCTGGGGGAGGGGAGCAGAGGTGGTTACAGTGGGGAGAACGATTAAGGGGGGAATAAAGGGGTTCAAATGGTCAGTGAGGGGGCAAGAACACCCACCAACCTAGTTACACTGGGATGGGATGGTGGTAAAAATGGAGCAGAGGGAGGGAGGGGACGGAGAAAAGATCTTATCTACATGCAAAGTGATGCCGGGAGAGGTGATTAGTGAGGGGCAGAGAGGCTGGAGAGGAAGATTTAGGGGGACAGGGAGAAAGTAGGGGCTTTTGCCCAGGCTGGTCTTGAACTCCTGGGCTCAAGCGATCCAACCACCTTGGCCTCCCAAAGTACTGGGATTACAAGCATGAGCCATTGTTTCTGGCCCTGACTTACTTTCTTTCTTTTTTACTTTTTAGAGAAAGGGTCTCGCTCATGTCACCCAGGTTGGAGTGCAATAGTGCGATCATAGCTCACTGCAGCCTCAAATTCCTGGGCTCAAGCGATCCTCCTCCTCCTACCTAGGGGATTCAGGGCATGAAGGAACACTCAGGAGGAGTTAGGAAGGACACGACAGTGTGTGAGTGTGTGTGCGGGGAGGGTTAGATTTACAAGGCAGAGGGAAGTTTAGAAAGGAAAAGAGAAGGGAAGAGACGCTTTGGCTGGGAGGCAGGTTTAGGAGGGAGGTGCAGTGGTGCAGTGGAGGCGGTAGGTTTAGGAGAGGCGCGGAACAAGGGGAAGCCATAGGAGGGGTCAGCAGGGGTCCCTCAGCATCCTCTGGTTGCCTCTAACAATCAGGTACCCATAGCAAGCGGGACCGGGGCAACTTATGTTCTTTGCAGCGAGGGACCTTAGCAACCAAGGTGCGAGAAACACGCGATCATTGGCAACTTGGCAAGTGGATGTGGTAAACGAACCCTGAACACACTGCGACCCAGAAACCCACCAGCCTAGCGATACAGATCGCTAAGCAACAGCCCTCAGAATCCCACTCCCCGAAGCGCTCCCTACTTCCCGCCCCACCGCGGCCACCCTTGGGCCCCGGGGCCTGCAGCATTCAGCCAGGCCCCGGCGCGGCCCGACCCTCCTACCCGGATCCCCGACTCACGGTCTGGCTCTGCCATGGGCGCGGTGCTGAAGCCCTTGAGGCTGTCACCGACCGCTCTGTCCCGTCACCAACCACTGTGTCCCGTCACCGACTGCTCTGTCCTGTCACCGACTGCTCTGTCCCGTGACGGCACCAGAAATGGGAGTGGCCGTGATAGGGCACAGAACTACAACTCTCAGCAGACATTGCGGCCGCAGACGCGCTTTCGTACAACACCCAGAGCGCCCCAGTTAGGTAAGAAAGCGCGCGAGGACCGGACTACGAGTCCCAGAAGGCGTGGCGTCAGCAGCCATGTTGGTAAAGGGCGCCCGGAAAATGTGGGAACGGCTAGAGAGTTGTAGTCCTCCCGAATACTCTGATTGGTCAGGATGCAGTACGAGGGCGGGGTGTGAGCGATTCAGCATATTATCATTGGGTGAATCAGGGGGCGTGGTGGGGAATTTCCCGCAGGGCGGAAGCTCCAGAACTCCCGGCAAAGCCCAGCTACAGGCGGGCGACTGCGGGGGGCCCCTGAGGCGGCGGGGGCCATGGCTGGGGTCGCGTGCTTGGGAAAAGCTGCCGACGCAGATGAATGGTGCGACAGCGGCCTGGGCTCCCTGGGTCCGGACGCAGCGGCCCCCGGAGGACCTGGGTTGGGCGCGGAGTTGGGCCCGGGGCTGTCGTGGGCTCCCCTCGTCTTCGGCTACGTCACTGAGGATGGGGACACGTGAGTGAACCTTAGGCTGCCAAACGGAGCCCTAGGACCCGGCGTCACATTCCTCATTAATCTCTGATCCCTGAGGCTTCCTAACCTCATACTCCTAAATCTGACTTCCGATGCTGAACTTCCTGACCTCTAACCCCCGAGTCCTAACTTTTAACAAAACCAATCTTCTATCTAGCTATGATCCTAACCCAATCATTTCTTACCTTCTTTTCTTGAACTATGATTCTCAGCTCCTGGAATCCACATTGTATCCACTGATACCCAAACCTGACTCCAGTCCTGAGACTTCTGTTAGAACTGTGGCTTCTCCTGACTTCTAACCTCCAAATATGATCTTTGATTCTTAGTTCCCGATTTGAGCCCTAGAGTTTGATTTCCGAAATTAATACTTGGTCCCTGACTCTAAGATCCTGTCTTCTGAGCAGTGTTCTTCAAATCTTAAATTCAAAGAGAGAGAATGTAAGCTCTTCTATGTTGAATTCCTAATTAAAGTAAAAAAATAGGAAAATTAAAAAAAAGAATGTTAGCTCCATGAGACCAAGGATTCATCTGTTAAACAAATATTCTTTACACATTACCACGTTCCAGGCTCCGTTTAGGTGCTAGTGATAAAGGCAGTGAAGAAAACAAACAAAAACTTAAGCCCTTGTGGAGCATACATTTTAGTGGAGCTAAATAAACAGATTGATAAGACCACAAGGAAGGAAAGAAATGGAAAGACAGGAAGAAACAAAGAAAGACACGCAGAAAGAAAGAAACATAGAAAGTAAGAAAAGGAAATAAAGTCAGAGGTAGTTAAGTACTTTGGAGAAAAATAAAGCAGGAAAATGAGGCAATAGATAAACAAGATAAGAGCATTTCAAGGAGAAGGAACTGCAGTTGCAAAGGCCCAGATGAGGGATTGTACTGGGTTTTTTGTCTGTTGTGTTTACTGCTGTATGCCCAGTGATGCAAGCAGGGCCTGATCCAGGAGGCACTGAATATTGATCTCAACCAGCTTTATAGTCTCGTTAATTTTCATTAAATTTCATTAATTAATTTTGGTTTCATTAATTTTTTTTTACTTTCTATTCAATTGGTCTCTGTTCTGACTTTTTTTTTTGAAACGAAGTCTCACTCTGTCGCCCAGGCTGGAGTGCAGTGGCATGATCATGGCTTACTATAGCCACAACCTCCTGGCTCAAGTGATCCTTGCACCTCAGCCTCCTGAGTAGCTGGGACCACAGGCACATGCCACCATGCCTGGCAAATTTTTAAATTTTTTTGTCCCCCTATGTTCTCAAACTCTTTTTTTTTTTTTGAGACAGAGTCTTGTTCTGTCACCCAGGCTGGAGTATAGTGGCACTATCTCTGCTCGCTGAAACCTCTGACTCCTGGGTTTAAGCAGTTCTACTGCCTCAGCCTCCCAAATTTGGGATTACAGGCACGTGCCCCCACACCTGGCTAATTTTTGTATTTTTAGTAGCAACAGCAGTTTCACCATGTTGGCCAGGCTGGTCTCAAACTCCTGACCTCAGGTGATCCACCCGCTGTGGCCTCTCAGAGTGCTGGGATTACAGGTGTGAGCCACTGTGTGCAGCTGTGGTCTCAAACTCTTGAGCTCAAGCATTCTTCCCACCTTGGCCTCCCAAAGTGCTGGGTTACAGGGATGAACCACTGTGCCCAGACAGTCTCTGCCTTTTAATTAGTGTTTAGACCATTTACATTTAATTTGATATTGATATGATTGTGTAAATTTATCCCATGTCTATTATATATATTCTACTTACCTATGTTTTCTTTTTCCTCCCTCCTTTTTGCCTTTTATTGGGTATAGTTTTTGTTACTTTTTTTTCAATCCTGCTCCTTCTGTATAGTGTTTTTCATTTTATTTCTTTTTTTTTTTTTGAGATGGAGTCTCGCTCTGTCACCCAGGCTGGAGTGCAGTGGTGCAATCTCGGCTCACTGCAAGCTCCGCCTCCCAGGTTCATGCCATTCTCCTGCCTCAGCCTCCCGAGTAGCTGGGACTACAGGCACCTGCCACTTCGCCTGGCTAATTTTTTTTGTATTTTTAGTAGAGACGGGGTTTCACCGTGGTCTTGATCTCCTGACCTTGTGATCCGCCCGCCTCGGCTTCCCAAAGTGCTGGGATTACAGGCGTGAGCCACCGCGCCCGGCCTCATTTTATTTCTTTTGTTTGCTTATTAGATATTCCTCTTTTTGTTATGTTAGTGGTTGCTTTAAGGTGGGGGTTGGCAAACTATGGCCTCCAGGCAAAATCTAGCCAGCCATCTGCTTTTGTATGGTTGTGAGCTAAGAATGGTCTTTACATTTTTAAACAGTTTCTAAAAATCAAAAGAATAATAATATTATATGGCTTTTGTATGGTTGTGAGCTAAGAATGGTCTTTACATTTTTAAACAGTTTCTAAAAATCAAAAGAATAATAATATTATATGGCAAGTGAAAGTGTATGAAATTCATATTTCAAGCTCCATAAATAAAGTTCTTTTGGAACGCAAGCAAGCTCACTCATTTACATATTGTCAGTGGCTGCTTTTGCACTGACACAGCAGAGTCGAGTAGTCAAAAGAAACTGTATGGCTGCTGGGCTCAGTGGCTCATGCCTGTAATCCCAGCACTTTGGGAGCCAAGGCGGACAGATCACAAGGTCAGGAGATCGAGACCATCCTGGCTAACATGGTGAAACCTTGTCTCTACTAAAAATACAAAAAGTTAGCTGGCAGTGGTGGCGAGCGCCTGTAATCCCAGCTACTTGAGAGGCAGGAGAATCGCTTGAACCCGGGAGGCGGAGGTTGCAGTGAGCTGAGATCACGCCACTGCACTCCAGCCTGGGCAGCAGAACGAGACTCCATCTCAAAAAAACAAAACAAACAAACAAAAAAAGAAAAAGAAAAACAAAACCAAAAAGAGAAACCATATGACCTACAAAGACTAAAATAGTTATCTGGCTCCTTACAGAAAAAGTTTGCTGACTCCTGCTGTAGGGTTGATAGTTTACAACTTTAGGTTATCATGGGCTACCTTAAAGTGATATTATGCCATTTCACATAGAGTAAAAGAAATTTATTTTATTTTATTATTATTATTTGAGACGGAGTCTCACTCTGTTGCCCAGGCTGGAGTGCAGTGGCACGATCTCAGCTCACTGCAACCTCCATTTCTCAGGTTCAAATGATTGTCCTGCCTCAGCCTCCTGTGTAGGTGGGATTACAGGCGCATGCCACCATGCCTGGCTAAATTTTTTTTGTATTTTTTGTAGAGACAGGGTCTCATCGTGTTGGCCAGGTTGGTCTCAAACTCCTGACCTCAAGTGATCTGCCCGCCTTGGCCTCCCAAAGTGCCAGGATTACAGGTGTGGGCCACCGTGCCCAGCATAATGAACTGTTTTAATATTCTTGTTTGCAAATTCTAACATCTCTGTCATTTCTGGGTCAGTTTCAATTCACTGATGGTTCCTATTATGGATCATGTTTTCCTGCTTCTTTACATGCCTGATAATCTTTGGTTAGGTGCCAGACATTGTGAATTTTGCCTTGTTAGTCTGGAGAATTCTGTATTCCTATAAATATTCTTGAGGCCGGGCGCCGTGGCTCACACCTGTAATCCCAGCACTTTGGGAGGCCAAGGCGGGTGGATCACGAGGTCAGGAGTTCAAGATCAGCCTGGCCAACATGGTGAAACCCTGTCTGTACTAAAAACTGCAAAAATTAGCCAGGTGTGGTGGCACGCACCTGTGGTTCCGGCTACTCGGGAGGCTGAGGCAGAAGAATCGCTTGAACCCAGGAGGTGGAGGTTGCAGTGAGCCACGATCGTGTCACTGCGCTCCAGCCTGGGCGACAGGGCAAGACTCTCTCTCAAAAAATAAAAATTAAAATAAATAAATAAATAAATAAATAAATAAATATTCTTGAATATTATTCTGGGATGGAGTTAAATTACTCGGAAGTAGTTTGAGTCTTTCCAGTTTTGCTTTTATGATTTGTTAGGTGGGTGTTGAGCAGTGCCCCATCTACAGTTAATTATTCCCCACTATTGAGGCAAGACCTTCCTGAGTATCCCACCCGATAGCCTGTGATGATGTTTTTCCAGCCTGGCTGGTGGGAACACTCACTATTCCTGGCCCTGTGTGAGTAACGAGCACTTTTCTGAAATCCTTTTGGATGGTTTTCCCATCCCCACAGACTCACAGGCATGGCTGATCCGTATTCTCCGGAATACACAAGAGAACCTCCTGCAGTTCCCCAGCAATCTCTCCTTTGGCAACTCTGTTTTGTACTCTGTCCTGTGACTCTAGCCACGCTGGCCTCCACAGACTCTTCCTCCATATCCATCTCCTGACCTCAGACAACCTGATGCGCTCTGCTTGGATTCCCCTCTCTGCACCGTGGCTTTGAAACTCTCTCAAGACAATAAGCTGTGGCAGTCAAGTGTGGGGCCCACCTCGTGTTTCCTGTCTTTCAGGGGTCACTGTGATTCATTGCACGATGTCCAGTGTCTTCAACACTGTTGCTTCATATACCGTATTTCGTCTGACTCTTGTTTGTTTGTTTGTTTGTTTCACGTGGGAGTGAATTCTGGTCCATGTTACTTCATTTTGGGCAGAAGTGGAAATCCCACTGAATAAACATTGATTCCACGAATTTGCTGATGAAACTCTGACCTCTGACCTCCCAGATAGCTGACAGGGGGTTCCAGAACTGTGGTCACAAGGCCTAGCATACAGTAGGCGCCCCATGTTTGTTCAATGAAGGAATGCAAGAGGACTTGAACTTTGCCCTCTCACCCCGGTCTTTGTCCCCAGGGCACTGCACTTGGCTGTGATTCATCAGCATGAACCCTTCCTGGATTTTCTTCTAGGCTTCTCGGCCGGCACTGAGTACATGGACCTGCAGAATGACCTAGGCCAGGTGAGCCACGAGGGATGGTGTAGGGCTTGGGGTCCAGGGTTCCCAGTGTGACTCCCTACCGCCTGTCCTCTGCTTCTGCAGACAGCCCTGCACCTGGCAGCCATCCTGGGGGAGACATCCACGGTGGAGAAGCTGTACGCAGCAGGCGCCGGGCTGTGTGTGGCGGAGCGTAGGGGCCACACGGCGCTGCACCTGGCCTGCCGTGTGGGGGCACACGCCTGTGCCCGTGCCCTGCTTCAGCCCCGCCCCCGGCGCCCCAGGGAAGCCCCCGACACCTACCTCGCTCAGGGCCCTGACCGTACTCCCGACACCAACCATACCCCTGTCGCCTTGTACCCCGATTCCGACTTGGAGAAGGAAGAAGAGGAGAGTGAGGAGGACTGGAAGCTGCAGCTGGAGGCTGAAAACTACGAGGGTGAGGGTCGTCACCAGGGAAGGACTCAGCTCCTGGGCTAGGCGAGAGCACCTGGCCCTGGGCTCAGCTTCCCTGATTTGAGACTGAGCTCCTTGGGAAATCATGCCTAGGCTTCAGGAGCCCACACATCGGGACCAGGGACCTCCACTCAGGGCCCAGATGATTGAGAATTGGATATGTAGGACCCAGGACCCCCACCTGGAGGCCCCAGGTCACTTGGGATGCAGACCTGTCACCCACAGACCCAGAGCTGCCAGGATCCAGTTGTCGGGCCCCCGGGCTCCCCACCTGCAGAGTGTATTGCAGACCCCTACCCTACCCAGGACCGGGGAATGCAGAGCTCAGGCCCTCTGTGAAACTCTGGCACCCCAGGCTCCCAGCAATGGGCAGCAGGGTTCAGAGACAGCCCTCCTCAGCCTCATGGGAAGAAGGGCTCATCTGCCCACAGCCCTGACATCCAAGTTTCTGCTCCCCTGCCTATAAGCCCAGCCACCTGAGACCAGACCCCTCCTCAGATGGACTGACGTCATTCAGGACCCAGTGTTCAGGGCCTGCCTCTCGCCCCCAGGTCACAGGCTTTTCAGCTACTTGGTACCTTTTTTTTTTTTTTTTTTTTTTTTGAGACAGTCTCACTCTGTTGCCAGGTTGGAGTTCAGTGGCGTGATCTTGGCTCACTGCAACCTCCACCTCCCAGGTTCAGGTGATTCTCCTGCCTCAGCCTCCCGAGTAGCTGGGATTACAGGGATTACAGGCACATGCTACCATGCCCAGCTTATTTTTGTATTTTTAGTAGAGACGGGGTTTTACCATGTTGACCAGGCTGGTCTTGAACTCCTGGCCTGGCCTTAGGTGATCTGCCCGCCATGGCCTCCCAAAGTGCTGGGATTACAGGTGTGAGCCACCGTGCCTGGGCAGGAACCTTAATTTAAGGTTTTTTTTTTTTTTTTTTTTTGACATGGAGTCTCACTCTGTTGCCCAGGCTGGAGTGCAGTGGCGCCATCTCAGCTCACTGCAAGCTCCGCCTCCTGGGTTCACACCATTCTCCTGCCTCAGCCTCCCGAGTAGCTGGGACTACAGGCGCCCGCCACCATGCCCAGCTAATTTTTTGTATTTTTAGTAGAGATGGGGTTTCACCATGTTAGCCAGGATGGTCTCGATCTCCTGACCTCGTGATCCACCCGCCTCAGCCTCCCAAAGTGCTGGGATTACAGGCGTGAGCCACTGTGCCTGGCCTTTATTTTTTATTTTTAGTAGAGACGTCTTGCCATGTTGCCCAGGCAGCTTCTTGAACTCCTGAGCTCAAGTGATCCTCTTGCTTTGGCCTCCCAAAGTGCTGGGATTACAGGTGTGAAATAGCGTGCCAGCTCAGGTCCTTTGAGTGATAAGAGCAGAGACTTGGGTCTCCTCCTGGCCCCAAAATCCAGGCTCCCTGTCCACAGACCCCAGGCTGTTTACCCGCGGGCCCCAGGCTTCAAACAACTCAGGCACTAGCACTTGCCAGCAAGCTCAGGCCATCTGAGATAGGCATTTGGTACCCAGGTACCTCTTTGCCATACCCAAGAATTCAGGAACCAGCCCCCAAACCTAATCACCCTCACGCCACATGACCCTCCCCCAGGATCAAAGCACGGTGGGGTGGGGGGGGCCCTCACCTCATCATCTGACGCCAATCACTCTGTCCCCAGGCCACACCCCACTCCACGTGGCCGTTATCCACAAAGATGTGGAGATGGTCCGGCTGCTCCGAGATGCTGGAGCTGACCTTGACAAACCGGTGAGCCCCAACCTCGGGGAAGATGCCGTCGGCGGGAGGGGGCTTGTCCCCTCTTCGGGCCCTCTGACCTTTCTGTTGCACCCCCACAGGAGCCCACGTGCGGCCGGAGCCCCCTTCATTTGGCAGTGGAGGCCCAGGCAGCCGATGTGCTGGAGCTTCTCCTGAGGGCAGGCGCGAACCCTGCTGCCCGCATGTACGGTGGCCGCACCCCACTCGGCAGTGCCATGCTCCGGCCCAACCCCATCCTCGCCCGCCTCCTCCGTGCACACGGAGCCCCTGAGCCCGAGGGCGAGGACGAGAAATCCGGCCCCTGCAGCAGCAGTAGCGACAGCGACAGCGGAGACGAGGGCGTGAGTCAGGAGGAGAGACAGGGCAGCCCAGCTGGGGGGTCAGGATAGACCGGCAGGCAAGAAGCCCAAGAAGATAATTAGGCACCGACCTTGGGCTGCTGTTAGAGAACTCAGGCAGCAGCGCCAGTGACACGGGGCACTAGTCAGGAGAGACCTGGACAGGGGTGGTGGGAAGAGCTTGGGCAGAAGTGGCTGAAAAACTAAGGCAGTGGCAAAGGTAGAACTCAGGCAGGGGTGGAGAAAAGGCGTTGGTCGCAGTGATTGGTGAACACAGCGGGGGTGGGTGGTAGCGCTGGGGGTGATTTTAGGCAGCAAGAATTGGAGAACTCACACTGCGAAAAGAAAACCTTGGGTGGCAGTGATTTGAACACCGGCAGTGCTGGGGCAGGACCCGAGCCAGCGGTGGGGAGAGATATAGTCAGAGAACCCAGCAATACAGATCCGTCCTTGGGCAAGGCGCGGTGCTGGATGATGGGTGCGGAGGAATTTGGGTAAAGGCAGAGGGAAGGGGTGGAGGAGGGCCAGCTCAGTTGCCGAAACTCTGGAGTGGCGGCTGGCTAGAAATTGGTCTGTAGAAATGACCTTGAAAATGGAGTTCTGGCCAGGTGCGGTGGCTCACGCCTGTAATCCCAGCACTTTGGGAGGCCGAGGCAGGCAGATCACGAGGTCAGGAGTTCGAGACCAGCCTGGCCAACATGGCAAGACCCTGTCTCTACTAAAAATACAAAAATTAGCTGGGCGTGGTGGCGCATGCCTATAATCCCAGCTACTTGGGAGGCTGAGGTAGGAGAATTGCTTGAACCTGGGAGGTGGAGGTTGCAGTGAACCTAGATCACGCCACTGCATTCCAGCCTGGGCAACAGAGCGAGACTCCATCTTAAAAAAAAAAAAAAAAAAAAGAAAGAAAAGAAAATGGAGTTCTGAGAGCTAGGAAACTGGGAGGTTGAGCCAGGAGCAGGGGAACTTGGGCTTTGAGGCGAGACCTAATTCTTAGGGTGCTCTATGAGGACATGGGTGGTGGGCAAAGTGACAGCCGCCTGAGCCCCTCTGCCTGGTCCCCTTTGCCCCCAGGATGAATACGACGACATTGTGGTTCACAGCAGCCGCAGCCAAACCCGGCTGCCTCCCACCCCAGCCTCAAAACCTCTTCCTGACGACCCCCGCCCCGTGTGATTTGTTTCATTGTTAATATAATTTCCAGTTTAATAAACAAAACCCTAGTTCTGACAACCAGAGACCAGACTGATCTTGTCTTCCCAGTCCTCCGGGTCCTTCTGGGGCCCATCCCTGTCACATCAAGTGCTGCTCACGGAGGCAGGGTGCGTTTCTTTGTGCTTTATTCACTCAGAAGGGTTGGAGTGGGAGTGCATAGGTGTGGGGGTGCTTCCTGTGTCAGGGCTGAGCCCAGCCCCCGGCCCAGCTCAGACTCACCTCCTTGGGTGTGGTTCCAAGGCACGTCCGCCTCCTCCCCTGTTTGGGTAGGGGTGGCGTGGGGTGCTAGGTGAGGTGGAGGCTTCGGGGTCAACAGTCCTAAGCCACAGGGTGTGTCAGGAGGAAGGAGGGACTGAGGTAGGGGTCAGCCCTCCCTCCTGAGCTGCTCCCCCAGCGTCTCTGTCACCTTCTTCAGTTCGTCTCTCAAGTGCTCCAGCTGCTCCACCTCCTTTTCCTGGTGGGGTCAGAAACGGGGTAGTCAGCACCCACCTTCAAAGGCAGGCCACCTCGGTCACTGTGATTGTGGGCCATGTCGGTTCTCATAGTGGCATCCAGCAGCGGTCGTTCTGATCGTCGTGGACCGCGATGGTGACCATGCTGATTGCCATAACCCCGGAAGAGTGGTGCTGGCTAACGCGACCACAGCCAACAGCAGTAGCTTGGCACTGGCAAAGGTGCCTGGGATGAGCACCTCGTGATGGCGCTTTATTTTTATTTTTAAGATGGAGTCTCGCTCTGTCACCCAGGCTGGGGTACAGTGGCACGATCTCGGCTCACTGTAACCTCCACCTCCCGAGTTCAAGTGATTCTCCTGCTTCAGCCTCCCGAGTAGCTGGGATTACAGGCATGCAACACCATGCCTGGCTGATTTTTTGTATTTTTAGTAGAGACAGGGTTTCACCATGTTGGCCAGGCTGGTCTCGAACTCCTGACCTCAGGTAATCCTCCCGCCTCAGCCTCCCAAAGTGCTGGGATTACAGGCACGAACCACCATGCCCAGCCATTTTTTTTTTTTTTTTTTAAGATGGTTTTGCTCTGTGGCCCAGGCGGGACTGCTGTGGCACAATCATGACTCAATGCAGCCTCAAACTCCCGGGTTCAAGCAATCCCACCACCTCAGCCTCCTGAGAGCTGGGACCACAGGCGTGCGCCACCATTGCTGGCTAATTTTTTAAATTATTTGTAGAGTCACGGTTTCACTATGTTGCCCACGCTGGTCTCAAACTCCTGGCCTCAAGGGATTCTCCCACCTTGGCCTCTGAAAGGATTAACCCTCCCTAGGATTACAGGTGTGAGCCACCATGCCCACCCTGTTACGGCACTTTTGGTGCCACCAATCATGGTGACATCTTGTTTTCCATGACCCAGCAATGGTGTCTGTCTGTCACCTAGTGAAGTAGGCACAGCAGCCACTTTTCACAGTGGCCAACTTGCTAGTGATGGTGGCTTGCTTCTGTGCAATGGTGCCATCTTGGTTGCTGTAGTCCATACAGTAGTGTGGAAGTATAAGGTAAAGGCCTTGCACGGAAGTTGTTAGCCAGTCGTGGTGTCAGTCTTGGCCACTGTGATCCACTAGTGATGGATCTGGTGGTGCAGGGCCAACACCGGTGGCTGTGAGTTGTGACTCCACTGACCATCATCAACCCTGCCTCCAAACTGTGTTGGTGTTCCTCCTTCATCCCCCTACTCACCTCCCTCTCCGAAGCCTCCTCCTTCTCCTGCCTGGGCTCAGCCTCTGGCTGGTGGTGGTGGTGGTGGTGGTGGGGCAAGTCCTCGCGCCTCTCTCCTCCGCCTCTCTCGGCCCCCTGCCACAGGCTGCGGTCCCCGCCCAGCACCCGCACCCCCTTCTCCTCTGCCTGGAACTGGGCCGTCTCTTTGTCACTGGCCTTCTCTGCCACCCGCTTCTGGAGGTCCCCTCCATTCTCTAGATGCCGCTGCCACAGGTCCTCAAAGGTCTCCATGGGCCCCCTCTTCCTCTCCTCCTTCTCCTCCTCCTCGTCCTCCTCCTGGTGGAGCTGGCGATGCCCTTGCATGCGGATGGCTTGTTCCTGGACCTCAGACTTGTGGGTCCTCTCTGCTACCTCCTCCTCTTCCTCATCCCTCACCTCCTGGCTGGACCTCATCTTCCCAGCCTCCTGCTTCTTGAAATCCCCAAGCAGCAGGCCTTTCTCCTCGGTGGACGCACAGCCGTGGGGCTCTGTCCCGCACAACTCTGGCAGAAAGGGAAAGGACACTCTCTAAGCATCCAATTGGGAAACTGAGGCCGAGTATGGAGGCTCACGCCTGTAATCTCAGCACTTTGGGAGGCCGTGGCGGCCGATCACCTGAGGTCAGGAGTTTGAATTGGGAAACTGAGGCCTTGAGGAGTTCTGGGCCCTGCCGAAGGTCTCACAGGGGGGCTGCCCAGACTACAGGGGGAGGGTCCTATTTCATCCCACCTGGGAGGGGATGTTCCCTGCCCCATCTGGCCCCTCTGCAGGGAACCACAAGGGTGTTGCTGGTGGCCAGGCTCTGTCAGGTGTGAATGCTGGGCAGTGCCCCGCTGGTCCAGGCAACAGGGCTCTGGGAATGAGGACCTCTTCCTCCAGGTAGCCTGGGTGGGAGAGCATGTGGGCACCTGGGCAGGACCCTGGGTGGGGTAGGGTAGGGTCCCATGGGGTTGTGGAGGGCAAGTGGGGCCCGGGGCCTCCTTACCCTTGTGGAGAAGAGCAGTGCAGGGTCCTCTCTGGACCTGGCCCACGGTCAGCACCTCTGTGACCACCTCTGCCAGACAGCGGGTCAGCTGGGGGGCAGGGGTGCCGGGTCAGAGGGGAGGTTGAGGGCAGGGGAGATGGGGAGGAGAGCAGCTGGTTTGAGGGCAATGAGGATCATGGGGCAGGCTGTGCAGGGAGGGCAGGGCCCCAGCTAGGTGAGGCAGGGCAAGGCCTCCACACTCCTCACCTCCTCCTTGGAGGGTCTCGGTGCCAAGGGAGCAGCGGTGGCTGTGGAGAAAGGAGATGGCACTGGGCTTTGCCGCCCTGGCTGCTGTCCCCGGTACCGACCCCAGCTCCATGGGCGTCCCGGTCCCCACACATCCCCTCCCCATCCCACCCGGCGGGTGTACTGTCCCCCGCTGGAGGCTCGGCCCCTGAAGCCTCTCCACTGGGTGCACTGCCTGCCCCCTCCCACTGGAGTCCCCGCTCCCCGGCCCCTGGCAGGTCCCGCACTCGGCAGGTCCCGCACTCACCCGCCCCCAGCAGGAGCAGCCGCAGCAGCAGCAGCTCAGAGGCTGGCCCTCGGGGCGGCATGGTGGGCGTCCAACGGGTCCAAGGCGCTGTGCGGGCCAGGGTTGCAGCGCCTTATAACCCACGCGGGGACCCTGCAGGGGAGGAAATGATGTCACCCCCGCCCCCTCCCCGCCCGCGGCGGGGCGACATCTGCGGGGCGGCTGCCTGCCTGAGACCCTCAATTATTCATGAGGCCTCCGCCCTGCACGCGCTCCCCTCGAGGCTTCAGGCCAGGAGCTCAGCGCAGATGGTGGAGGCCTCCCTTTTTTCGTTTTTTTGAGACACGGTCTGGCTCTGTCACCCAGGCTGGAGTGCAGTGGCGCCATCACAGCTCACTGCAGGCTCCTGAACACACTTGATCCTCCCACCTCAGCCTCCCGAGTAGCTGGGACCACAGGCGTGTACCACCATATCTGGCTAATAATGTTTATTTTTTGTAGAGGCAGGGTCTCACTTTGTTGGCCAGGTTGGTCTCAGACTCCTGGGCTCAAGTGATCCTCTCGTCTGGGCCTCCCAAAGTGCTGGGATTACAGGCCTGAGGTGCCACACCTGGCCTGGGGGGATCTCTTCCCAGAGCAGCAGGGTCTGGTACACTCGCCCTCCACGCTGGCAGGTGGACCGGGGTGGGAACCCAGAAGCAGCCACTCACAGATGGTCCCCAGGCAACTCCTTCCCTTCCTGGGCCTGTTTTCTCACAGGGTCTTGTTACAGGCTGGAGTGCAGTGCCTCAAACTCTCACACAAGGGATCCTCCTGCCTCAGCCTCCAGATCAGTTGGGACTGCAGGCTTGCATTATCATGCCACAGTAATTTTTTTCATTTTTTGTAGAGAGGGGTTCTTGCTATGTTGCCTAGACTGGTCTGAAACTCCTGACCTCAAATGATCCGCCCACTTGGGCCTCCTGAAGTGCTGGGACTACAGGCGTGGGTGAGCCACTATGCTTGGCTGAGAGTGGGTCTCATAAACCCGCTTCCTCAGAGGCTGCAGTTGGCTTCTGGCCTAAGCCCCAGCTCCACCACGTGCCAGCTGTGCAGCCCAGGATAACCGCTTAACTTCTCTAAGACCTGTTTCCTCACTGTAAATAGGGTTGGTGACAACCTACTCTACAGTTGGACAGTGAGGATTAAATAGTTGTGTGTACAGTGTTTAGGGAAGTGCCTGGTACTGGGAACGGCACACGTCCAAGCATCTTCAGTGCAGTAATTTTTGTTGAGCATCTACTACATGCCAGGTCCTCTTTTAGACCTGAGGCTACAGCCCTGAGCCAATGGGTGGATACCTCTGCCCTCCTGGAGCTGGTATTTGACACACATCAATACATATTAAGGAAAGAAGGCAGAAATGCATCAAAAATATAGTATCTCAGGCTGGGCGTGGTGGCTCATGCCTGTAATCCCAGCACTTTGGGAGGCCAAGGCAGGTGCATTACCTGAGGTCAGGAGTTCAAGACCAGCCTGGTCAACATGGCGAAACCCTGCCTCTACTAAAAATACAAAAAATTAGCCGGACATGGTGGCACCTCCCTGTAATCCCAGCTATGCGGGAGGCTGAGGCAAAAGAATCTCTCAGAGGTTGCAGTGAGCCGAGATCACACCACTGCACTCCAGCCTGGGACAGTGAGACTCCATCTCAAAAAAAAAAAAAAAAAAAAAAAAAAGTATCTCAGATGTAGGTACTGAGTGCTGGGGGGGTTTTACTGTGGTCACGGAAGACTTCTTGGAAGAGGTGACATTTGAGCTAAGGCCTGAGTGACAAGATGGAGGCCAGCACACACCATCTAGGGGAGAGACAGCCAGAGAGGGAGACTCACCAATGTAAGTGCACGAGTCAGGAAGGAGTTTGGAGAGTTTCAATGTCAAGGCGGGTCGGGTGGACCAAACAAGACAGAAAGATGGGCTGAAGAGGAAGGTGGAGCAGCTCAGGTGGGGTCTTAGGGGCCTCGATGACCACTTTACCCTTTTACTCTGAGACGAAGCCACAGGAGACCTCTGAGCAGGGGTGGGACACCCAGCTGAGGTGCTCACAGGTCCCTCTGGCTGTGTGGCGAGGATGGAGAACAGGGAGCCAGTGAAGAGGCTTCCAGGGTTAACCAAAGGGGAGGGATCGGGGAGCAGGGCCCAGGTGGGGTCAGGGAGGAGAGAACAGTAGGCAGAGTCTGGAAATCTTTTTTGAGACAGAGTCTCGCTCTGTCACCCAGGCTGGAGTGTAGTAGTGTGATCCCAGCTCACTGCAACCTCTGCCTCCCGGGTTCAAGAATTCTGCCTCAGCCTCCCAAGCAGCTGGGATTACAGGTGCCCGCCACCACACCCAGCTCTTTTTTTTTTTAGATGGAGTCTCGCACTGTAGCCCATGCTGGAGTGCAGTGGCGCGATCTCCACTCACCACAACCTCCGCCTCCCAGGTTCAAGTGATTCTCCTGCCTCAGCCTCCCGAGTAGCTGGGATTACAAGCGTGCGCCACCACGCCCAGCTAATTTTTGTATTTTTAGTAGAGATGGGGTTTCACCATGTTGGCCAGGCTGGTCTTGAACTGACCTCAGGTGATCCGCCTGCCTTAGCCTCCCAAAGTGCTGGGATTACAGGCGTGAGCCACTGTACCTGGCCAGATTCTGGAAATATTCTGAAGGCGGTGTTGCCAGGGTTGCTAATGAAGTGGAGTGGATATGAGATAAAAGTCGAGGCTAACCCGAAGGGCTGTGGCCTGGGCAGCCGGGAGAATGTGCTGGGATGGGCATGCCTGAGGAGGAGCAGGTGCAGGCCAAGTGATCAGAGGACCAGGTAGCTTCCCTGAGTTTGGGATGCCCACTGGGCCCCTACCTGGAGCTGCAGAAGGGACAGCTGCATGGGGAGCTGGGGACTGAGGGGTGAGGCTGGGGCTGGGGTCAGCTCGAAGGAACCCTCAGAGGGTGACTCTGTTCTGGCTTGTCCCAGAGGAAGGGGAGAGAATTCAGCATCCTCTCAGCAACCCTGGTGGCCCCAGGCCAGCCTCCATGTGCACTGGGGGGTGGCTAGGCACTTCCAGCCATGGTCTTTGCAGCCACAGACCCTTTGAGGATAGTGCCTCCAAGCGGCTGCTCAGCAGCTCCTAGAGAGCCAGGCATCTCCCTTGTTCACAGATCCACAGAGGCCTTTGTCCTGACCATTTATTGGGGACTTTTTGCTCAGCACTGTAGGAGGAAAGAAGGAAGGAGGGATGGAAGCCTCTTCCTCTGCTTCTCCTGTCCCTAGAACCGTAAAGCCCAGACGTCCTGCTTCCCACTGGGACCCTCAATGATAACAGGGTCAGTGACTGACTCTGAGGCAGCAAGGACAGAGGAGAGGTGGACCCCGTGGTCCAGGGGCCCGGGCGTGGAGCTGACAGGAAGAACACAGATGTCAGGACGGGCTCAGCAACACAGGTCCCAGGTGTCCGGGGTCTCCTGAACTCCAGGAAGCAGTGACACCCCCGAGGGCTGCTGTGGGTGGGTTCTTAGCTTACAGCAGGCTGGCCAGGCAGCCCAGGCTTCCGGGGCTGGTTGGGGCCGATGTACTGGAGAGGCACGTGGGTAGGGGCTGTGATCCGATCAGTGCCGAGGTAGGACTGGAGGGCAGGGGGCACGAGCACTGAGCCGTCCTGGGGACAGAGCAGACCTCAGGACACTGCAGATGCCCCAGCCCTCCCCGGCGCTGAGCTGCCTCTCTGGGTGGGCCCCTCAGCCCCTCACCTTCTGCTGGTTACTCTCCAGGAGCGCGATGAGAAGGCGGGGGACAGCACAGGCGGTGGCGTTCACCTGTGAGACAGCCATGCTCGGAACTGGCGCCCACCCCAAGCTGAGCCCGGGGAGGAGCCAAGGTGGGTGGGTCTAGGGCGGCAGAGGCTGCGGGCGAGGGCACGCGGGCAGGAGGCTGTGCGGGCCTCACCGTGTGGGCAAACTGCAGCTCCCCAGCCTCGGTCTGGAACATGATGTGGAGGCGGCGGCTCTGGAAGTCTGTGCAGTTGGAAGCACTGGTGACCTGGGGTGGAGGAGCGGCAGGCTGAGCGGATCAGGGATGGGGGGCAGGCCTGTCCTCCTGCCCACCCCGTCCCCAGCGGCACAGGGCTCACCTCTCCAAAGCGGCCTCGGCCTGGCATCCAGGCCTCAATGTCAAACTTGCGGTAGGCGGGGAGGCCCAGTTCTTGGGTGGGCATATCCAGGACCCTGCGGTCAAGGACGAAGGTGTGGGGAAGGTCAGCGGGTGAGAGGAGGAGCAAGAGGAACAAATGGAAACGATGGAAGAGAAGGCAGCCAAAAAGCAGGAAAAAGCCCAGGAGTTTGAGACCAGCCTGGGCAACATAAGGAGACCTCATCTACTCCAAAAAAACAAACAAAAAAAAGGAGACGATAGTGCCAAAGGAGAGAGTTGTGAGGCCAGGGGTGGTTATGGAGAAGGTGGTACATGGAGGGGGAAGCACAAAAGAGGTTGATGGGAGGGGAAAAAGGCACGTGGCAGGGTCCACCGGCTCTTCACAGTGGCCATTCACACATTTGCACCTTCTAGGCACCCTCGGTTTTTTTTTTTTTTTTGAGACGGAGTCTGGCTCTGTTGCCCAGGCTGGAGAGCAGTGGCGCGATCTCGGCTCACTGCAACCTCCACCTTCAGGGTTCAAGTGATTCTCCTGTCTCAGCCTCCTGAGTAGATGGGATTACAGGTGTGTGCCACCATGCCCGGCTGATTTTTATATTTTTAGTATAGATGGGGTTTCACCATGTTGGCCAGGCTGGTCTTGAACTCCTGACCTCAGGTGATCCGCCTGTCCCGGCCTCCCAAAGTGCTGGGATTGTAGGTGTGAGCCACCGTGCCTGGCCTTTATTTTTTTTTTTTAGAGACAGGGTCTCACTCTGTTGCCCCAGGCTAGAGTGCAGTGGCATGATCACAGCTCATTGTAGCCTCCACCTCCTGGGTTCAAGCAATTCTCCTGCCTCAGTCTCCCAAGTAGCTGGGACCACAGGTGTGTGCCACCATACCCGGCTAATTTTAAAAAACGTAAAGACGAGCTCTCGCTGTGTTGCCCAGGCTGGTCTTGAACTCCTGGCCTCAAGCAATCCTCCTGCCATGGCCTCCCAAAGTGCTGGAATTACAGGCGTGAGCCACCACACCCGGCTTACGCTCCCAGTTTTTTACAATGGGTCACCCAGAAAAGAAGTCCACATTTCTCAGCCTCTCTTGAAAGCTGCGTGTGACTGACAGGGTGAGAGGAAGTGGGGTTCCCAACCTCTGGCTCCCCCTTTTCCCACCCCCACTCTCCACTGGGAGGTGAAAAAGTATCTTGGGTTGCACAGATGAGGCAGTGGCCCAGAGAGAGGGGGAGCAGCAGGAGGAAAGGGGCCCGGGTCTCCACTCTGGCACACCGTGCACTGTTCGTGCTTCTGTTACAGTCCTGTGAGGGACGACCGGCACACGGCAGACAGATTGGGATCCTGTATATGCTCCTGTAATCCTTGTACAGGAAAATGGGGGCAACGAGGGGGCTGGAGAGGTGGTTCCAGAGCGAAGAGCAGCTGGCCAGCCCCTTGTCCCTCCCCTACCCCACCCCTGCCATCCCTGGATCCCTGGCCCCTCTCCACACCGGAAGTGCAAGCCCAGCTCTGTCAAGATCTCCATCTGAAGGGACAGGAACTCCTCCAGCAGCTGTGAGCTCTGCTCCAGCCCAGGGCCTGTCACCCCAAACATCTCCACCTGGGACAGAGGGCACAGGAGTCAGGAGGCTCTGAGCTCTTGGGGTGGCCCCCCACCCCAGCCCCGTTTAGTCCCAGCGACACCAGCCTTGGTGAAGTGGTGTACTCGATACAGCCCCCGGGGTTCCTGTCCCGTGTTTGTCTCTGCCCGGTAGCAGGTGCTGGAGCAAACCATCCTGGCAGAGAGCAGGGAAAGTCGGGTCAAGGAGGGAAGACTGATTGTCACAGGTGGGGTCAAGGTCTAAGGAAACCAGGTGTCACCTGACTGGCAGGTCCCTGAAGGCCACGGTGTGGTCCATGAAGTAGCCTGGGAGGAGAGACCACAGGGTGAGCCAGGGCTGCCAGTGCCCAGAGGAAGCCTTTGGAAGATTAAGAGGCACTCCCTCTGGTGGATGCAACCCCAGGTCAAGGCCCGGGGCTGGATTATCACTGTACTGCTGTACAGTAAACAACCTACACAGCCGTACATGTTGGCCCTGGGGCTGCTGAGCTGCTCGGGGCAGGTGATCCCCCCCAGTGCTCCCTGGACGCTCCCAGTTGTCCTTCCACATCACTCCTGCTCCTCCCCACCACCCACACAGGTCCTCACCTGCAAGCCCCACCTCCGCTGTTCCAGCCAGGTTGAGATCTTTGAAGCGGGCAGGGTCGATGTTGTAAATTTGGGATGGGTTGGCATTTGGTGTCATCCCACAGCCTTCCTGGGGGAGGAGGCCAGGCCACAGGGATCAGGGGACAGGTAACCCTGGCCTCTCGTTTTACAGTCCCAACCCCAGCTCCTCCCCTGAAAACATCTGGAGCTGCCCTGGCCTCCCTGGTATGGCCTGGCCCCCTCAACCCAGCCCCAGGGCGGTCTCCTCAGGTTTCCCTGCCTCGGGCACCCACGGCAGGGCCTGACACCCAGGTGGGCGAGGGAAGCGGAGAGGCCTCACTCACAAACACTGCTCCGCGGAGAAGGTCTGGCACCGTCATGGGGGTGAAGCCCTGTTCAGGGGAGAGGATGAGTGAGCAGAGCTGGGACCCCTACCAGACCCCAAGCTCAGCCCTGAAGAAGGGGTGCTGCAGAGCCCCTTCCTCCTCAGACGAAACTGAGGCAGGGGCTGGCGCAGTGGCTCACCCATGTAATCCCAGCACTTTGGGAGGCTGAGGTGGGCGGATCACTTGAGGCCAGGAGTTTGAGACCAGCCTGGCCAACATGGCAAAACCCCCTCTCCACTAAAAAGGCAAAAATTAGCCGGCATGGAGATCGTGCTACTGCACTCCAGTCTGGGTGACAGAGCGAACTCTGTCAAAAAGAAAAAAAAAAAAATTAGCCAGCATGGTGGCATGTGCCTGTAATCCCAGCTACTCAGGAGGCTGAGGCAGGAGAATTACTTAAACCCGGGAGGTGGAGGTTGCAGTGAGCCAAGATTGCACCACTGTACTCCAGCCTGGGTGACAGAGCGAGACTCCGTCTCAAAAAACAAAAAAGTACAGATTTGGCCACACCCTCCCCTGCTTAAAAGCCTCCCATGGCTCCCTAGTACCCTCTGAAAATGTCTGAGTTCCTCACCGTGACCAATGCTCCATGCAACCAGTCCCTGCCATGTTTCAATGGATGCTATGATTCCCAAATGCTCCCTTTATACCGCAAGCAGGCAGTGAGGTGCAATGATTACAAGCACAGGCTCTAGGCCCAGCTCCAGACTGGCTGTGAGACCTTGGGCTATAGGTACCTCCCCTCTCTGGGCCTCAAGCCCTCTCTGTAAAGTGGGGATGATGACAGCACCCACTTCATAAAGTTGTCGTAAGGACTAAATGTGTCAATGATACACATGAAGCTCTGAGAGCAGTGACTAGGGCAGAGCAGAGATCACTCCCATCCCCGTTGGGCCCTCTGAGCTCAGCTTCGATGCCACCCCCTCCAGGCAGCCCTCCTATCTTGGCCCATACCCGGCGGAGAAGCTTGTTGAATGTGAAGTTGACCAGGCCGTGCTGCAGGAGGGCTCCAGCCCCGCGCAGGTAATAGGACCGGTGGCCAGACACGTGGGACAGGCGCCTGGGAGACAGACAGACAGGCGGGTGCACATGGGCCAGGCTGGCAGGGAATGTGGGGATGAAAACACCCGGGGGAAGAGGCCCGGCTGCTGGGTGGGGCTGGGGCATCAAAGATTCATGGCATTTCCACATCTCACGCTGAGGCCAATGAGGCAGGAGCCAGCTGTCGGGGTGCAGGCAGCTGGGAGAGGGGCGTGGGGAGCCAGGGGAGGGGCTCACTTCTGACGGATGATGTCGAGTTTCTCGCCAATTTCCAGGTGGCCCCGAGGTTGGAAGGAGAAAACTGGATGTGGGTGAAAAGCACCGGTGTAAGGCAGCGGGGAGAGAGGGATGGGGCCCAGATAGAAGCTTCCAGAGACAGCAGAGAGGAGGGACGGTGAGAGAAAATAAAGGAGGGGCAGGAGGAGAGAAGGGAGAAGAAGACACGGAAAGGGAGGGAAAGGGAAGAAAAGACAGACAGGAAGGGAGGGAGATAAAAACAGAGACAGGGAGAGGAAATGAGAGGAGGCAGAGAGGGAAATAAGAGGGCGCGGGGTGGGGAAGGCAGAGTTAGAAACAGAGGAGAGAGGCCAGAGGAGAAGGAAACACCACGAGGAAGGGAGGAGGAGAATCAGAGAGGAGGCACAGAGTTGGGGAGAAAAAGCCCCGGAGACAGGGACCAAAGCAGGGGGGTCAGAGAGAGAGACAGAGACACACACACACTCACACACATACATACACACACAGAGATACACACAGAGGTACGAAGACACACACACATATACAGACACACAGAGACAGACACATACACAGACACGCAGAGACAGACACACAGATACACGGATACAGACACACAAAGACAGACACGCACACACAGATACACACAAAGACACAGATACACAGACACAGATACAGACATACACACAGAGATACACGGAGATATGCAGATACACACACAGACACACAGAGACAGACACATACACACAGACACAGAGAAAGACACACAGATACATACACACAGATACATAGACACACACAGACACACACACACACAAACACAGATATACACACACAGAGATAGACACACACATAGACACACACACACAGACACAGACACAGATACAGACACACACAAACACAGACACACACACACAGATACAGACACACACAGATACACAGATACAGACACACACAGATACACAGATACAGACACACACATACAGATACAGACACACAGATACAGACACACATGACACACAGTCACACAACACATACATACACGACACACACTCACACACATACGATACAATCACACAACACAGGGTGAGACTGCCCAATGGTGAAGGGGGAGAGAATGAAAACCCAAGGACCGCCTCTCAGAGACAGCTCGAGCTCGGCCAAGGCAGGAAGCTGGAGCCACCTCCTGTACCGCCAGGAGTTCTCCAGGCTCCAGACATGTTCCCAGACCCCAGGGGCCCCCACCCCGAGACCCCAGAACCCCCACACCGCAGGGCTTGTCAGCTCCCAGGCCTGGGGTGTGGCCCACCTGGCTTGTCTCCGACCATGTGGAGCACTCGAGCCTGGCTCTCATCCCCGACGGGCTGCAGGGAGACAGCAGGAGTCACGGAAAGGTGGCACTAGGTGGGCCCCTGGCCTCCCTGCCACCCAGCACGGTGCTCACCACGTCTGGGTGGGTCTGGTTGGGCAGCTTCAGCGCCTGCAGGTAGAACTGCTCCTCAAGCTGGGCCTCCCTGGGGTACAGGTGAACAAGCTCCTTCCGGATCTCCCGGCCACGTGCCCGCAGACCCTGGTACTTGGGGTCCTGGGGGCAGCACAGGTGGGCTCAGCCCGGGAGAGGGTCAGGACTCCCTCATCCAGTGTGACCTTGATCCTGACCGGCAGAGCCCCTGTGGTGGACATTCATGCCTCTTCTCCAGGCCCAGGATCCTGAACGTCTTCGCAGAACTTCCCTTACCACCACATGGCAGGTTTGTGGGGAAAAGAATCAGGCCTGGCCAACTAGAACGTTCTATTGCCTTGGCCACAATGACTGGCTCAGAGACAGGCACCTGATGTCAGCTGAACTCATGAGAATCAGCCCCAGGACTTTAACTGGAACTATCAGGAAAGCGTGCTTGACTTTGCCTCCTACTTACACAAGGAGAGAAAGCTGGCCTGGGAATGGGAGGAACGTAGGACCAAATATGGAGCCAGCACCTGGATCCAGCCGCACCTGAAGCCAGTTTTAGTTTCATGCATCAATAGAGCCTATTTTTTTTTTCCCCTTAAACCTGTTTGAGTTGTTTTCTGTTACAATAGTAGAATCGTGACTGGCAGGGTATCCTCCCTGCCCACCCCCAACCCTGGATAGGACATCAACTCTTCACAGTACCTGCTGCACTTCACCACTGTCCTGGTTTGCCTGGTAGAAAAGAGACAGGGTGGGTGATTAGGTTGACAAAGTCGAGGGTGGGGAAGAGAAAAAATGGTGAAAGGTCAAACAAGGCCAGAGGATCTTAGTCTCCTGCTCTGTCAGTGCCTAGCTGGGTCCCTCTGCAACTCTGTGTTTCTGTTTCTCTATTGCTAACGCTACAAGGAGGCAAGATAATTAACAGTAATCACAGCCGCAGATCCGTATAGGAAGTGATGCCTCCATGCCAGGCTCTATGTACAGGGCTCTCCCATGCCATGATTTCTTCAAAATCCACTTTAGGAGGTAGGCATTCGTGTAAACCCTGTGATATGGTTTGGCTGTGTCTCCACCCAAATAATATCTCAAATTGTAATTCCACCTGTTGAGGAAGGGACCTGGTGGGAGGTGATCGGGTCCTGGGGGCGGTTTCCCCCATGCTGTTATCCTGATAGTGAGTTCTCACGAGATCTGATGGTTTAAAAGCATTTGGCAGTTACCCCCTGTGGCTGTCTCCAGCCACCATGTGGAAGGGAAAGTGCCTTGCTTCCCCTTCCGCCATGATTTTAAGTTTCCTGAGGCCTCCCAGCCATATGGAACTGTGAGTCAATTAAACCTCTTTTCTTTATAAATTACCCAGTCTCAGGTATTCTTTTTTTTTTTTTTGAGACGGAGTCTTGCTCTGTCGCCCAGGCTGGAGTGCAATGGCGCGATCTTGGCTCACTGCAAGCTCCACCTCCTGGGTTCACGCCATTCTCCTGCCTCAGCCTCCTGAGTAGCTGGGACTACAGGTGCCCGCCACCACGATCGGCTAATTTTTTTTGTATTTTTCGTAGAGACAAGGTTTCACCATGTTAGCCAGGATGGTCTCGATCTCCTGACTTTGTGATCCACCTGCCTTGGTCTCCCAAAGTGCTGGGATTACAGGCGTGAGCCACCGCGCCCAGCCTGATCTCAGGTTTTCTTTTTTTTTTTTTTTTTTTTGAGACGGAGTCTCGCTCTGTCGCCCAGGCTGGAGTGCAGTGGGGGGATCTCGGCTCACTGCAAGCTCCGCCTCCCGGGTTCACGCCATTCTCCTGCCTCAGCCTCCCTAGTAGCTGGGACTACAGGCGCCCGCCACTACGCCCGGCTAATTTTTTTGTATTTTTAGTAGAGACGGGGTTTCACCGTTTTAGCCGGGATGGTCTCGATCTCCTGACCTCGTGATCCGCCCACCTCGGCCTCCCAAAGTGCTGGGATTACAGGCGTGAGCCACCGCGCCCGGCCTCAGGTTTTCTTTATAGCAGTGTGAAAATGGGGCCAGGCGTGGTGGTTCACAAATGTAATCTCAGCACTTTGGGAGGCTGAGGTGGGCAGATCACCTGAGGCCAGCAGTTGGAGAGCAGCCTGGCCAACATGGAGAAACCTCATCTCTAAAACCTTGTACTAAAAATACAAAAATCAGGCCGGGCTTGGTGGCTTACGCCTGTAATCCCAGCACTTTGGAAGGCTGAGGCGGGCGGATCACGAGGTCAGGAGATCGAGACCATCCTGGCTAACATGGTCTCTACTAAAAATACAGAAAAAAAATTAGCTGGGCGCGGTGGCGGGCGCCTGTAGTCCCAGCTACTCGGGAGGCTGAGGCAGGAGAATGGCGTGAACCCGGGAGGCAAAGCTTACAGTGAGCCGAGATAGTGCCACTGCAGTCTGGCCTAGGTGGAAGAGCGAGACTCAGTCTCAAAAAAAAATTAGCTGGGTGCAGTGGCACGTGCCTGTAATCCCAGCGACTCAGGAGGCTGAGGCACGAGAATCCCTTGAACCTGGGAGGTGGAGGTTGCAGTGAGCCGAGATCGTGCCACTGTACTCTGGTCTGGGTGACACAGTGAGACTCTGTCTCAAAAAAAAAAAAGAAGAAAATGGACTAATATACCCTGTCTGTAGATTCGAAAATGGAAGCTCAGAGAGGTAAAGTCTATCAGTGTGCATTTGAGGGCCTGCAACCAAGGCCCCTTGACATTCTGAACCTTCCATGATCCTAAGCAGCTGAGGGAATCGAACAGCCTGGGTCTGAATGTTGGGCACCTACATGCTGTGAGCCCTTGGGAAAATCTCTGCCCCCTCTGAGCCTCAGTATCCCCATCTGTGAAGTGGGATGATAACAGGACCTCCCTGGGCAGGGCTGTTGTGCAGCTTCCCTGAGATGAGTTAGCACTCAAAGAACATTAAATGATCCATTGTGTTGCTTTCATTGGTTGTCCATGATGTAGACAGCCCGAGGCTGGCCACTCAGTAGGTGCTGGGAGATGTGATTCTTGGTGGCAGAGGCCTCCAAACAGAGTGGTAAAAACCAACTGCCTAGGTGCGAACCTTGCCTCTCCCACTTCCTGGCTGTGAGACTTACGTACTTTTTCTGGTTGTTTTTTCTCGGAGACAGGGTCTCACTCTGTCGCCCAGGCTGCAGTGTGATGGTGCGATCATAGCTAACTGCAGCCTCAAACTCTTGGACTCAAGCGATCTTCCTGCCTCAGCCCCAGAGTAGCTGGGACTACAAGTGCGTACCCCCATACCCGGCCATTTAGGCCCGTTTTAATCTCTTAGGGCCTCACTTTTTCCCAGCTGTAAAATTGGGTTTGTATTGTTCCTGTGTGACAAATGGCTGTGAGGATTAAGAGTATGGAAAACACCTGGTATGGTGTGTAGCGACTTCTACATAAAGGTCTGCTGTTGTTTTTATGATTGTTTTTAAGCCGTCTGTGGCAGACACTGTTGGTTGTATAACCCAAGATCCCTCCTTCCAGGCCAGGCGCAGTGGCTCACACCTGTAAGCCCAGCACTTTGGGAGGCCAAGGCGGGTGGATCACCTGAGGTGATGAGTTTGAGACCAGCCTGGCCAACATGGTGAAACCCTATCTCTACTAAAAATACAAAATTAGCCGGGCGTGGTGGCGCATGTCTGTAATCCCAGCTACTGGGGAGGCTGAGGCAGAAGAATCACTTGAACCCAGGGGGCAGAGGGTGCAGTGAGCCCAGATCATGCCACTGCACTCCAGCCTGGGTAACAGAGTGAGACTCGGTCTCAAAAAAATAAAAACAAAATAAAGATCCCTTCTTCCTCCTTCCCCACAGAACTCTGACGCAGTTCACCCTTCCCTGGTAGCCTGTAGTTCAGGGGAAGTGGGCCCAGGTGGAGGATGGCCTCTGATCAGCCTATGCCGGCTGCCGGAACTCCATTCCTCCGGCTGACAACTGGAGTGTGGTGGGGGTCTGGGCCCAGGGGACACGAGGGGACTTTGCTGGATGCTTCAGGAAAGGTGTACTTGCTCCTGAAAAAGGAACTCAAGCCAGAGAAGTCTCTGTCTCCTTCCCCTGGCACAGTCATGTGAGGAGATGCTGGACTACAGCAGCCATCTGGAAACCCTGATGGGAAACTGAGGAAAGATCAGTGCAGTGAAGTTGCCGGTACAGAGAGAAGGAAAGGACCTGGGCTGGGGATGCTGGAAGAACCGCTAATTAATCAGCCCTAGGGATGCCAGGGTCCTGCAACAGCTCGCTATGTGAGGTAATGCATGTCCACATTGTTCACGCTTGCTTATTTATTTATTTAGGGAGTCTCGCTCTGTCGCCCAGGCTGGAGTGCAGTGGCGCCATCTCAGCTCACTGCAACTTCCGCCTCCTAGGTTCAAGCGATTCTCCTGCCTCAGCCTCCCAAGTACCTGGGATTACAGGTGTCCACCGCCATGCCGCCTAACTTTTGTATTTTTAGTAGAGATGGGGTTTCACCATGTTGCCCAGGCTGGTCTCAAACTCCTGACCTCAGCTGATCCACCAACCTAGGCCTCCCGAGTAGCTGGGATTATAGGCGTGAGCCACCGTGCCAGCCTGTTCAAGTTCTTTAAATTCGGTTTCCTGTTACCTGTGTCTAGAGACACCCTCGTGGCCACTCCCCACCTACTCAGGGCACCATGCTCACCAGCAGGGCCCGCACTGCCTCAGTCACAGCTGCCTTCTCTTCCTCCAGGCTCCGGATCTGCTCCTGCAGCTGCCTCAGCTCCTGCCATGTCGAGATCTGGGGTGGATATAAGAGAAAAGGAGATGAAGCAGCCATCACCCCTACCCTTCTCTCTGGAGCCCACTGGCCACCTGGACCTGCGGCGCAGTGAGGCAGAGATCCCTACCTAGCCCTCAGTGGCCATCCTCCCCTCCTCCCTTCAGTACTGGAATGCCCTGAGGTTCAGCTGGCCACACAGATGCCCAGAATTCAGACACACTGGCCGAGCATAGTGGCTCATAACTATAATCCCAGCACTTTGGGAGGCCAAGGTGGGTGGATCACTTGAGATCAGGAGTTCAAGACCAGCCTGGTCAACATGGTGAAACCCCATCTCTACTAAAAATACAAAAATCACCCAGGTGTGATGGCAGGCACCTGTAATCCCAGCTACCCAGGAGGCTGAGGCACGAGAATCGCTTGAAACCAGGAAGCGGAGGTTGCACTGAGCTGAGATCGTGCCACTGCACACTCCAGCCTGGGCAACAAGAGTGAAACTCTGTCTCAAACAAAAAAAGTCTCTAAACTAGCACTTTAAAAAATCATGGCTGGGTGTGGCACTTTGGGAGGCCTAGGTGGGAGGACTGCTTGAGTGAGCCCAGGAGTTCCAGACCAGCCTGGGCAACACAGGAAGACCTGCCTCTAAGAAATTTTTTTTTTTTTTTTTTTTCTGAGACAGAGTCTCACTCTGTCACCCAGGCTGGAGTGTAGTGGCATGATCTTGGCTCATTACAACCTCTGCCTCCCAGGTTCAGGTGATTCTCCTGCCTTAGCTTCCTGAGTAGCTGGGACCACAGGTACGTGCCACTGCACCTGGCTAAGTTTTGTATTTTTTAATAGAGGCAGGGTTTCACCATGTTGGCCAGGCTGGTCTGGAATTCCCGGCCTCACGCAATCTGCCTGCCTTGGCCTCCCAAAGTGCTGGGATTGCAGGTGTGAGCCACAGCACCCGGTCTCTACAAAAAAACTTTAAAAAAATTAGCTGGGTGACAGATTGACACCTTGTCTCAAAAACAAAAAAAATTGTTACAATGTACATAATATGGGAGGCTGAGGCAGGTGGATCATTTGAGCCCAGGAGTTCGAGACCAGCCTGGGCAACATGGAGAAACCCTGTCTCTACAAAAATTAGCTGGGCATGGTGGCACATGCTTGTAATCCCAGCTACTTGGGAGGCTGAGGTTGGAGGATTGCTTGTGCTTGAGCCTGGAAGTCTCACGGAGCCTGAGAGGCTGCCATGAGCCAAGATCATGCCACTGCACTCCAGCGTGGGTGACAGAGTGAGACCTTGTCTCCAAAAAAAAAAAAAATTTATTATTTTTTTGAGGAACTGCCATACGGTTTTCCATGGCAGCCGTACCACTTTATACACATTCCCAACAGCAATGCACAACGATTCCGACGTTTCCACAACACAATTCTTGCCAACACTTGTCCTTTTCTGTTTTGTTTTTAATAATAGCTACTTGAGGCTGGGTGTGGTGGCTCACACCTGTAATCCCAGCACTTTGGGAGGCCGAGGCAGGTGGATCACAAAGTTAGGAGTTCGAGACCAGCCTGGCCAAGATGGTGAAACCCTGTCTCTACTAAAAATACAAAAATTAATTGGGGGTGGAGGCGTGCGCCTGTAATCCCAGCTACTCAGGAGGCCAAGGCAGGAGAATTGCTTGAACCCGGGAGGTAGAGATTGCAGTGAGCCAAGACTGCACCACTGCACTCTAGCCTGGGCGACACAGCAAGACTCCATCTCAAACAAACAAACAAACAGCTGCTCAAATGCACGTCTAAACTACTACTTTGAAAATGAAGAGAATAGCCAGGCGCAGTGGCTCATGCCTGTAATCCCAGCACTTTGGGAGGCCGTGGCCAGTGGATCATTTGAAGTTAGGAGTTCGAGACCAGCCTGGCCAACATGGCAAAATCCATCTCTACTAAAAATACAAAAATTAGTTGGGTGTGGTGGTGCACAACTATAACCCTAGCTACTTGGGAGACTGAGGCACGACGATCACTTGAATCAAGGAGGCGGAGGTTGCAGTGACCGGAGATTGTGCGACTGCACTCAGGCCTGGGCGACAGAGGAAGACTCAGTCTTAAAAAACAAACGAACAAACAACAAAAACACACCCCTGGCCCCCCCCCCCGCAAAAAAAAAAAACAACAACTAGCACTTTACAAATGAAAGAGAATATAATTAAAGAACAAGAATGCATCACACGTGGTAAGAGCAATAATTGTTAATGAAACCGGTTTCAATTTTGGGTGTGTGTACTGGGTCAGGATGTGAAATGTATTTCTTACTCTTGGCCACAAAGTTTGAAAAAGCCTGCTAAAGGATGTGACGCTCTAAATTATCTACATGGCCATCAAATGGAATTTTCCATCCTACCTCCAGGCTTTTGTATATTCTGGTCCCCTACTTGGGATACTCTTCTTCCCTCTTCCCTGGTGATTTCTCAATCCACAGATCTTTGTTTAATGCCACCTCCTCTGAGAAGTCCTCCCAGGCTGTCCTCCACTTTGCCTTCACAGCATTTACCACAGATTATAATGAGTATATCTGTCTCTATGAATTTGATTACTCTAGGTAGTCAAATTTACCAGAAATTGTAATTAGTATATATGTATAGTTGTATATGTTAAATGTCTTTTAGTGGGGCATGGTGGCTCACATCTGTACTCCTAGCACTTTGGGAGGCCAAGGTGGGTGGATCACTTGAGGTCAAGAGTTCGAGACCAGCCTGGCCAACATGGTGAAACCCCGTCTCTACTAAAAATACAAAAATTATGCAGATGTGGTGGCATGTGCCTGTAATCCCAGCTACTCGGGAGGCTGAGGTGGGAGAATCACTTCAACCTGGGAGGCAGAAGTCGCAGCGCACTCCAGCCTGGGAGACAAGAGCAAAACTCCATCTCAAAAAAAAAATGTCTTTTACTAGACTGTGAACTCAGATCATGAGAGGGCACAGCAGGGTACTTAAGATTGTGGAGTCTGGGTGTGGTGGCTCATGCCTGTAATCTCAGCATTTTGGGAGGCCAGGGTGGGAGGATCACTTGGGCGCAGGAGTTCAAGACCAGCCTGGGCAACATAGTATGTCCCTGTCTCAACAAAAAATACAAAAGTTTAGCCGGGCGTGGTGGTGTCTGCCTGTAGTCCCAGCTACACGGGAGGCTGAGTGGGAGGATTATTTGAGCTCAGGAATTCAAGGTTCCAGTGAGCTATAATTGTACCACTGTACTCCATCCTGCCATCCTGGGCGACAGAACAACACCCTATCTCAAAAAAAAAAAAAAAAAAAGTGGATTCTAGGCCAGAAAGCACAGGTTAAAATTCCCACTCTGCCACTTCCCAGTTGCATGACCTAGCGCAAGTGAATTAGCTTCTCGAAGCCTTAGTTTCCCCTCTGATAAAATGGGAGAAATAATGGCACCTACTTCATAGAGTTGCTGTGAAAATTAAACGAGGTTAAAGTGAATAAAGCACTTCAAACAGGCTGGGAGGGGAGTCCAAGAGAGGAATGGGAAGACGTGGGGACCCCACTATCGTTAGCACCTCAACACAGAGATATTGTGAACCCGGTCCTAATTCCCTTTTATAAGTGCTAGCAATTTTATTATTATTCACCGCATATTTGCAACATCTAGAACACCGGAATATAGCAGTTGCACCTTAAGTATCAGTTTAATAGAACCATTCATTAATGGATTCATTCATTCATTCATTAACTCTATTTAACTGCCTGCTATGTGTGGCGGAGGTGCACAACTCTCCCTACCTCTCTCTCTAAACGCAAGAGCTCCACCACACCCCAGCCCTGACCCCGTCCGATTCACACTTGGCTCCCCATTTTCCTTTGTGGTCTTAGGGAAAGGCTGGCATGAGGTTGCAGCACGGAGGGCAATGTCACATAGCAAGTTCCTAAAGGACAGGAGGTACCCAGCGAGCAGTATGAAACAAGCGCATAATGGGTGTCCAGGACACAGTAGGCATTCTTGGCACATAGTAGGGCCTCAGCACTCACTGGACAACTGGCACATAAGTGGGTGCCATGCACAAGACGTTGGCTAACTTGGGAAATAACTAAAATTCCTACTACAGGTTCGCCCCCTGCCGGAGGGCATCTTGCAAACCCAATTCTTCCGTAAAGCAAACGTCTGCGCCCCCCGGCCGGCGCAGGCGCACTCACGATCGCGGGCAGGTCCGCCGAGCGCAGCTCCCCCTTGCGGAGCTCCAGGGCGTGTGCGGCCTCTTCTGGGCATGCGCAGAACCGCTCTATGTCCAGCTGAGGGAGTGCGCTGTAGCCCTCGCGCGCATACTCGTACAGGAGGTTCCGGTTTCGTTTCTCTGTAGTGAAACTTCTCCTTGGACTATCGTTGGAGATGCAGCCTCCCCGGGGCCGGAACCCCCGACGAGTCAGCAAAGGCCACAAGCGCCGCGCCATGGACGCAGCCATCTTGGACCGGGAACAAGGCGGCACTTCGTCCCGCCCACTCCGCGTTTAGACCAATTGCAAGGCAGCGAACCTGACCGTGACGAGCCAATCAGATCCTGAGGAAAGTTGACCGCGATAGAGTCCTTCGTCGCCCAATCGTCGTCTGTGTCCCGCCTCTTCAGTGACGCGAGGCAGAACCAGCCAATCCCTGCACGGATAGCGCCCGGAAGAGGCTAGAAGCTGGATTCAGCGTGTCCGCGACCTCACCTTTAGGTCCTGTGAGGTCGGTGGAATCCTGGGGTCCTCCAAATCTACCAGGCCATCTCCCCAGTTTCCCAGTTCTTCCTGCGTGCGGGCGAGAGTGGTTGGGCCCTCGGGAACCCACTCAGAGCGAGGCTAAATTTACGGAGGGACTTTCTGTTAGCAGCATGAGGGCCTGTGGTTAGACCTATAGAGGTATTTCCTTTGATTTAAGCCAGAAAGTCCTGAGAGCGGATCGGGGAGCATTTGCGGATCGGTCACTTTTTCCTCCTTTCTGAGTCTCTTATCCCCTACCACAGGGACGGCCCAGGTGGCAGGATGTCCTGGTCTGGCCTTCTCCATGGCCTCAACACGTCCCTAACTTGTGGTAAGTGGGGGACTTGGGCTTCAGGGACGAGGCTAGAGGGGGAGGGTTATTCGCTCTTGGACTTGTGTGCCTCCGTCGGAGCCCCGAGGGAAACGGGGGTGGAAAAACACGGTGGGGTTTTGGCAGAGCTAGGGCTGCTAGAGCAAGAGGTGGGAAGCAGCTGCATGGAGGGCTACTGCGTGTCAAGCGGCGTTTGGGTCAGTTTTATTATTTATTTATTTAAGATCTCCCTCTGTCGCCCAGGCTGAAGTGCAGCGGTGTGATCACAGCTCACTGCAGTCTCGACCTCCTGGGCTCAAGTGATCCTCCCGCCTCAGCCTCCCAAGTAGCTGGGACCACAGGCCTGCAGAACCACAACCAGCTAACTTTTTGATTCTTTGTAGAGAGGGAGGTCTCCCTGTGTCGCCCAGTCTGGCCTTAACTCCTGAGCTCAAGTGACCCTCCACAGCCTCCAAAAGTGCTAGGATTACATGCATGAGCCACTGAGCCTACTATTATTTTAAACAGCATTAAAAATAATGCTTCCTGGCCAGCCGTGGTGGCTCACGCCTGTAATCCCAGCACTTTGAGAGGCCGAGGTCAGGAGTTCGAGACCAGCCTGACCAACATGGTGAAACCCCGTCTCTACTTAAAAATACGAAGATTAGCCGAGCGTGGTGGTGGGTGCCTGTAGTCCCAGCTGCTCAGGAGGCTGAGACAGGAGAATTGCTTGAACCCAGGAGGCAGAGGTTGCAGTGGGCCAAGATTGAGGTACTGCACTCCAGCCTGGGCGACAGAGTGAGACTTTGTCTCAAAAAAAAAAAAGAAAAAAAAAAAAAAGGTAATGCTTCCTTGAAGAATAAAGAGTTACTTTTGTCTGTAGATAACATTAGATGTGAACAAATGCATCTTTGTAAAGTGCTTTAAACAATGCCTAAAACACCAAAATTGAGTTGCTACTACTCTAAGATCTGTTCTCTGGGATAATAACCCCTTTCGGCCCTCTCCAGGCCCAGCTCTGGTTCCCCGGCTCTGGGCTACCTGCTCCATGGCTACCCTGAACCAGATGCACCGCCTGGGGCCCCCCAAGCGGCCGCCTCGGAAGCTGGGCCCCACGGAAGGCCGGCCGCAGCTGAAGGGTGTGGTCCTGTGCACGTTTACCCGCAAGCCGAAGAAGCCCAACTCAGCCAATCGCAAGTGCTGTCGAGTGCGGCTCAGCACTGGCCGCGAGGCCGTCTGCTTCATCCCTGGGGAGGGCCACACCCTGCAGGAGCACCAGATTGTCCTTGTGGAGGGCGGCCGCACCCAGGACCTGCCAGGCGTCAAGCTCACCGTTGTGCGTGGCAAGTACGACTGTGGCCACGTGCAGAAGAAGTGACGGCTGGGGGCACAGTGGGCTGGGCGCCCCTGCAGAACATGAACCTTCCGCTCCTGGCTGCCACAGGGTCCTCCGATGCTGGCCTTTGCGCCTCTAGAGGCAGCCACTCATGGATTCAAGTCCTGGCTCCGCCTCTTCCATCAGGACCACTATTAAGCCATAGGAGTCCTGGGGGTGCAAAGGGTGCCCCTCTGTCAACACCCTTGGCTCCTGTGTTTAGAGGGGTGGCCTGAAGGACCTTTTCTGCTGGGACAAGACACTGTACTGCCCTCTGCTGGGAAGGGGTTTTAATAAACAGACCCTGGCGCTTGTGATGTAAATCCCCTTGTGGAGTATTTGCCCTCTGTGTGGCTGTGGCAGTGGACATCTCTGAGCTTCAGTTTCCTCCAGAAAATAGCTCCATTGGTGGTATCTCCTTTGTTTGGTTTGGTGAAGATTAAATTCGATGCTCTATGTGCATAACACGCACGGAGGGCTCTTTTTTTTTTTTTTAGACAAAGTCTCACTCTGTTGCCCAGGCTGGAGTGCAGTGGCCTGATCTCAGCTCACTGCAACCTCTGCCCCCCGGGTTCATATGATTCTCCTGCCTCAGCCTCCCGAGTAGCTGGGATTGTAGGCACACACCACCAGGCCTGGCTAATTTTTGTATTTTTAGTAGAGACAGCGTTTCACCATGTTGGCCAGGCTGGTCTCAAACTCCTGAGCTCGGGTGATCTGCCCACCTTGGCCTCCCAAAGTGCTGGGATTACAGGCGTGAGCCACCACGCCTGGCAGAGGGCTACTGTATTTTAAGCTTAGGAGTCAGGTAGGTGGCACAGAGGCCCAGGTCTTCTTCCTGCAGGCCATGGGTTCTGGGCACATAAACTCTGCCCTCAAGCATGGACAGCTGGAAAATGGCAGTAATTGTAATGTTGATGTGGAAGGGGTGTGGAAAGGATTCAATGGGGTGTGCTGCTCCACACCCGGGAGCTGTTCTTTTATTTTATACGTGTGTGTGTGTGTGTGTGTGTGTGTGTGTGTTTGTGTGTGTTTGTGTAGAGAGAGAGACAGAGTCTCACTGTGTTGTCCAGGCTGGAGTGCGGTTCTATGATCAAAGCTTACTTCAGCCTTGACCTCCTGAGCTCAATAGATCCTCCCGCCTCAGCCTCCTGAGTAGTCAGGACCACAGGTGTGTGCCACCACACCTGGCTAACTTTTCCATTTTTTTAGAGTGGGAATCTGGCTTTGTTGTCCAGGCTGGTCTCGAACTCTTGGCCTCAAGAGATCCTTCCACCTTGGCCTCCTAAAATGCTGGATTATAGGTGTGAGCCACTATTATATTATATAATAATATAAAATTATTACTGGGTTCACCTGAGCTCAAATTCTGCTCCCCGTCATAATTGCTATGAGACCTGGCTATGTTGGTTCCCCCTATGGGCCTCGGTTTCCTCCCTTGGAAAATGGCACTGATGATAATGCTGACTGCACCTGATCATGTTTTTGGCCATGTAAGATTTAAGAAGTGGGGCCAGGTGCAGTGGCTCATGCCTGTAATCTCAACACTTTGGGAGGCCGAGGTGGGCCGACCACTTGAGGTCAGGAGTTTGAGACCAGCCTGGCCAACATGGTGAAACCCTGTCTCTACTAAAAATACAAAAATTACCCGGGCATGGTGGCATGTGCCTATAATCTCAGCTACTCAGGAGGCTGAGGCAGGAGACTTGCTTGAACCTGGGAGGTGGAGGTTGCAGTGAGCTGAGATCAGCACCACTGCACTGCAGCCTGGGTGACAGAGTGAGACTCTGTCTCAAAAAAAGAAAAAAGAAAAAACAATGTTGGAACTGTGTTTATATCATTGGGCTCTGGAGCCCAGCACTGCTCCAAGCCCTGCCTCCCCTACTTACTGGCTGGGTGACCTTGGGCAGGTTGTTTACACTCTGAGCCTGGACCAAATGGCGCTGATAAGGGTGCATGCTTGAGAGCTGTTTGGAGCATCATAGCTGTCTCCGAGTTCCTCTTGACGCTCAACACACAGCCTCCTGAGGGTCTCCTGATTGTAAACATGAGGCCACAAGGTCTTTTAGGATCAGAGCTGGTGGCAGATAAGTGCACTGATTACAGATAAAAATTGCCCATCCCCTCATATTTGGCACCAGTTTTATTGAGCTAGTTTGTTGGCCATGCCTAGCTGAGAAATAGAGAAGTGGAGGGAGATGGGGGGATGGGAGAGCTTTTCCTCATGGCACACTCTGCTCCAGGAGTCTGTATACAGGAGTGTGGAGAAAAGGAAGTGTTACCTTGCAGGAAGTTGCCCCCAAAGCAAGGGCAGGAGGTGGGGGTGGGGGACTTGGCCTCTGATGGAATTCTGGAATTCTGATGAGAGAGGTGCTAGCCTGACCTGAACAGGAGATGCTGACAGGCAGTGCTGGGCATGTTGCACAGAGATGGCTGGTTACACAGCCCCGTGGCAGGATCCCAGAGTGCCGAGACCAGCTGGGTCGTGGAGACCCTAACCCAGTGGCGCTAGAGGAATTAAAGACACACACCCAGAAATACAGGGTGTGGAGTGGGAAATCAGGGGTCTCACAGCCTTCAGAGCTGAGAGCCTCGAACAGAGATTTACACACATATTTATTGACAGCAAGCCAGTGATAAGCATTATTTCTATAGATTATAGATTAACTAAAAGCATTTCTTATGGGAAATAAAGGGATGTGCCAAAATAAACGGATGGGCTCTGGCTAGTTATCTGCAGCAGGAACATGTCCTTAAGGCACAGATCGCTCATGCTATTGTTTGTGGTACAGGAACCCCTTTAAGCCGTTTTCCATCCTGGGTGAGCCAGGTGTTCCTTGCCCTCATTCCAGTAAACCCACGACCTTCAGGGTGGGGGTCATGGCCATCATGAACATGTCACAGTGCTGCAGAGATTTTGTTTATGGCCAGTTTTGGGGCCAGTTTATGGCCAGATTCAGGGGCCTGTTCCCAACATGTCCCCTTTTTTGTTTTGCAAAGTGATAAAAGCAAAGGCAGCTTTGTCACGGTGAGCTACTTCTCACAGGAGTCAGGATCCGCATCTGCACACTATACAAAGACAAACAACACAGAGTAAAAGCACAATCATCATTGAAATCACAGAGCCTCCAAGTGTTTTTATCCATTTGAATGGGTTACTAGCTGCTAATCTGTCTGCAGCTCCTTCAAGCACTCCAGTTCCTGGCATTAAGTTCACGTGTGCCTGGGATACTTTAAATATTTGTTCTTTCAATTTTGCAATATCCAAATACAAGTTTGTAGAGTGGCCTTCTAGATGCTTTTTTATTCTTTCCCAAATTTTGATTTTATTAAGAGCTATTAACAGTTTCCACAAATGCTTATGTTTAGCTCCTAGAGCAGGCCATATCATTTGAGGCTGAGGTGCCACTATACTGCCATGGTTCCAGATAATAGGAACTCTTGCTGTATTTCTTACCATTTCTATCATCTGACCATTTTGTTCAGATGAGCTGATCACAGTGTGGCCATGGCATGCAGACTGAGAGGTGCAGTTCAAGCTAAACATCCCCATAGGTGACCAATTAATAATGATTCCATAGGAATTGTTGTGCAGCACCTCTGCCTGTTCTGCAAAGCAATCTTCCTAAACAAGTACGTTCATTTTTGCTAACTGGGTCCAATCCTGTTTACAAATATGTTTTTGAGGGCAGTATGCCTCAATTATAGGAGCAGATTTATTATGAGATCAGAAAGCTTGTATAACTGTGTCATAGAGTGATTACATCCAGGCATTATTGCCAGCCAAGATTGATAAATATGCCCAATAAGTATAATTGTCCTCTGTGTCAGCCCTTATTGAAGGAATACTCATGGCAGTGGTGATCATCGCTATCATAGCTACCATTAAATTACTCATTGCGACTGGTTGTCCCACTTTCCTCAGGTTTTCTTCCACCATCTGTGACAGCTTCTTGATCTGTCTCCAGGTGGGTGGCTGTGTTTGACAGGTGTTGCTCGTGACAGTTGGGGTCTTCCTCAGCGTCAGTCTCGACATGGCTGCAACCGGGGGTGGGGGGGGTCCTCAGTTTCCTCCCGGAATCTCTTCCTCAGCATCTGGCTCATGATAAGGTTTCAGGTGTCTTGATGGTATCCAAATCGGCTGTTGAGTCAGTCCTGGAGAAACACAAGCATAACCTCTACCCCAAGTTATTATTTTACCTATTTCCTAACTTTTTGTTATTGGATCTCTCCACCAAACTAGTTGTTCTGCTTCTGTCTTTGCAGCTGGTTTCTGTAGATGCTGTTCAGCTACTGATAGGATCTGGCCTTTAGGCAGGCTCAAAAAATTTAAAGTTAACAATGCTAGATTCAGTTGCATATGGGGTGTCCCGTAGTCCTTGTTTTCCCCCCTTTTTTTTGCTTTTGCAACTGCTGTTTCAGGGAGAGATTCATTCTTTCCACTATGGCTTGTCCTTGAGAATTATATGGGATACCAGTAATGTGTTTAATATTCCGTATAGAGAAAAATGTAGCTAGAGCTCGGCTAGTGTAGCCTGGGGCTTTATCTGTTTTAATAGAAGCTGGAATGCCCATCACTGCAAAACACTGCAAAAGGTGACGCCTGGAAGAGGTGTATGAGCCCTAATGTGAGTGATGTAAAAAGGGTGCATTCTACTCCTAACTGCTGTTTGCAGTTGGGTAAATAAAATCATCAGTTGTTCATCTGCAGGAAATTGTAACTGAGCATTTTCAGTTAATTGTGTGGAATGAATCACGTATGAAGAGTCAGAAATCACATTAATAGGCATATGAAAAGCAGTCACTACCTCAATTACAGCTACAGGCTCCACTTTTTGAGCTGAAGTATAGGGCATCTGAAAAACTTTACTTTTTGAGCCAGAATAAGAAGCTTTACCATTACTAGACCCATCTGTAAAAACATTTTCAGCACCTTCAATTGGTTTAAATTTAGTTATTTTAGGGAGAATCCAATTAGTTAATTTCAAAAATTAAAACAGTTTTGTTTAGGAAAATGGTTATCGAGAATACCCACAAAGTCAGCTTAATTGGTTTGCCAAGTAAGACTATTTATAAAAGCTTGCTGTATTTGTGCCTTTGTGAGAGGGATAATAATTTTTCCAGGATCATATCCATGTAATTTAACAATCCGAGTTCTCCCATTTCCTATCATAGTAGCAATTTGATCCAAATAAGGAGTTAGAGTCCGTGAATTAGTATGTGGAAGAAAAAGCCACTCTACAAGATCTCACTCTTGAACAATAACACCAGTAGGTGAATGCTGAGTTGGAAAAATTAGCAAATCTAGAGTCTTCTCTGGATCTAATCTATTTATTTGAGCTTTATGGACTTGCTTTTCGATTAGCCGCAGCTCTGCCTCAGCTTCTCTTGTTAATTACCGAGGGCTTGTGAGACCAGGATCTCCTCTAAGGATAGAAAATAGATTACTCATGGCATAGGTAGGAATGCCTAGAGCAGGTCGTATCCAATTAATGTCCCCTAGTAATTTTTGAAAGTCCTTTAATGTTTTCAATTGATTCCTATGTATGGTTGCTTTCTGTGGCACAATGGTAGTGTCATTTACTAAGGTCCCCAAGTAGGAGTAAGGAGTAGTAGTCTGAATTTTGTCAGGAGCTATAATTAAACCAGCGCAAGAAATCGAATTTTGTAAGTGATCATAACATTGGAGTAATACTTCTCGAGTGGGGGCAGCACAAAGTATATCATCCATATAATGAATAATGTAACACTGTGAAAACTTTTAACGAGTAGGTTCAATTGCTTGCCCTACATAAGTCTGGCAAATTGTTGGGCTGTTTAACATGCCTTGTGGCAATACTTTCCAGTGAAAACGCTTAGCAGGCTGCAGGTTGTTTACTGCAGGAATTGTAAATGCAAACTGTTCACAGTCTTGCTCAGCTAAGGGGATAGTAAAGAAACAGTCTTTTAAATCTATGACTATTAAAGGCCAATTTTTTGGAATCATAGCAGGAGAAGGCAATCCTGGCTGTAATGTACCCATGGGTTGTATAACTGAATTAATGGCTCTTAAGTCAGTTAACATTCTCCGTTTATCTGATTCTTTTCTTAATTACGAAAACTGGAGAATTCCAAGGGGAAAATGTTGGAGCTATGTGTCCGTTTTCTAATTATTCAGTAACTAATTCCTCTAAAGCCTTCAGTTTCTCTTTACTTAGCGGCCATTGTTCTATCCAAATTGGCTTATCTGTTAACCATTTTAAAGGTATAGGTTCTGGAGGCTTAACAATGGCCGCCATCAAAAATAATATCCTAAACCTTGGCGGAAACTTGTATTTCTGCTTGAAGCGGTTCCTTCAAACCTTGTAAATTTTTTCCTAGTCCCATACTAGGGACATACCCCATTTCATGCATCATATGTTGACTTTGAGGGCTATATAATTGTTCTGGAATTAGAACTTGTGCTCCGCATTGTTGTAATAAATATCTTCCCCATAAATTTATAGGTACAGAAGTTTTGGTTGAATAGTCCCAGGTTGTCCATCAGGCCCTTCACAATGCAAAATATAACTACTTTGATATACTTCAGGGGCTTTACCAACTCCAACTATGTTAAACTGAGCAGGTTGAATTGGCCATGTGGACGGCCATTGCTATAGAGAAATGAAATGTCCGCTCCTGTATCTACCAAACCTTTATATTTCTTTCCCTGAATAGTTATTTCACAGGTAGGACGTTTATCAGTAATTTGATTCACCCAATAAGCTGTTTTGCCTTGTTTATTTGTGCTTCCAAATCCTCCTGTTCGTTTAATTTCACTTTTTCCCATTCCCACATATGGCACATTCAGGAGCTGTGCTATGCGCTCTCCTGGCTCTGCTTTCCAGGGAACAGAAGTAGAAAAAACAATTTGAATTTCTCCATTGTAATCTGAATCAGTGACTCCTGTTTGTACTTGTACCCCCTTTAAATTTAAACTACACCTCCCTAGAAGTAATCCTATTGTCCCCACTGGCAAGGGTCCACAGACCCCTGTTGGAACTTTTTGCGGGGGTTCCTCAGGCAGAAGGCTCACAGCTTTTGTGCAGCATAAATCTACTGTGGCATTACTGGCTGTGGCAGGGGACAGACATTGTACAGGGGTGAAGGAGTGGCCTGAGGCGGAAATGCCCCTGGTTTCGAACAGGGCCCGGGATGGGCCCCTCATGGCATTTCCCGAAATCGGGTTCCCATCTTTATCAAACTTAGAGTGACACTGATTAGCCCAATGTTTTCCTTTTTTTACATTTTGGACATATATCAGGCTCAGCAGTTTTCTTTTTTCCCCTGTCTGCCGGCCTGACTTGCTGATTTTTTTCTGCATTCTTTTTTAGTGTGCCCATGCTTCCCACAGTTGAAACAAGCTCCAGGAAATGGAGTATTTCCTTTATCCACTTTCAGTCCTGCCATTGCCTGTGCCAACAAAGTAGCTTTATGCAGATTACCTCTGATACCATCTCAGGCCTTGATATAATCAACTAAATGTGCTTTCCCTCTAATAGGTCACAGAGCAGCCTGGCAATTGAGATTAGCATTGTCAAAAGCTAATAACCGCAACACTATATCCTGAGCAGCCGAATCTGCAATCACCTTTTTAAGATACTCCTGTAACCGAGCTATAAAATCTGTGTACGGTTCTTTTGGTCCCTGTTTTACAGCACCAAAGGAAGGGTACTGTTCTCCACCTGAAGTGATTTTTTCCCAAGCTCTGATGCACACTCCTCTAAGCTGCTCTATGGCATCATCCTGCATGACCACCTGTGCATCTAAACCAGCCCAGCCGCCGACCCCCAAAAGTTGGTGTGCAGTTATATCAATTTGAGGTTGGGCCTGGGTGTTGCGAGGAGCCTGAATGGAAGCTTCATCTGCCCACCAAGTTTTAAATTGTAAGAACTGAGCAGGAGTTAGACAAGCTCAAGTAAGAGCGTCCCAGTCAGGAGGAATCATCCGACTGGAAACAGCAACATTCTTTAACAGTCCCGTTACAAAAGGAGAACCTGGTCCATATTGATTAATAGCTTGTTTAAATTCTTTGAGTAATTTAAAAGGAAAAGGCTCAAATGTAGCTGTAATATTTCCCTGTTGATCTGGGGGATGTATTCTAACAGGGAACTGCCAAGCCTCTAAATCACCCTCTCTTCTAGCTTGCTGAATTCCTGCCTGAATGGAACTGAGAGCAGTCGCTTGAGGCACTGCCCAAACAGTCACTGGGGCAACTACTTTTCACCCAGTGTCCTCTGGAAAAGAAAGATCTGGAGGGTCAGGTCACTCTTTTTCTTCACACTAAGGAGGGGATGCAGAAGGGTAGGGATGAACCTCTTCCTCCTTTGCCACTTTAGCTTTAGCTGGCAAACAAACCTGCTCTGTTACCTCTTCCATTACTTCATTACACTCTCCCTGCTCCTCATCAGTGTGAAAAGGTTCCAAGGTGGAATGAACCAGAACCCACACCTGTCCCATTGCTACCCTGATGCTTCCGAGCTCCCCTTCTTACTCACCATGGGGATTGCTTAAGAGTACTCGGGTGTCCTCCAGCTTAGTTCCACGTTCTCCAACCGTCGCTCCAGTGACTCTTCGACCTGGGTTCGAGCCCCCACGTATGGGTGCCACTTGCCGAGACCAGCTCGGTTGTGGAGACCCTAACCCAGCGGTGCTAGAGGAATTAAAGACACATACACAGAAATATAGGGTGTGGAGTGGGAAATCAGGGGTCTCACGGCCTTCAGAGCTGAGAGCCTTGAACAGAGATTTACCCACATATTTATTGACAGCAAGCCAGTGATAAGCATTATTTCTATAGATTATAGATTAACTAAAAACATTTCTTACAGGAAATAAAGGGATGGGCTGAAATAAAGGGATGGGTCTGGCTAGTTATCTGCAGCAGGAACATGTCGTTAAGGCACAGATCACTTATGCTATGGTTTGTGGTTCAGGAACCCCTTTAAGCGGTTTTCCGCCCTGGGTGGGCCAGGTGTTCCTCGCCCTCGTTCCAGTAAACCCACAACCTTCAGGGTGGGGGTCATGGCCATCACAAACATGTCACAGTGCTGCAGATATTTTGTTTATGGCCAGTTTTGGGGCCAGTTTATGGCCAGATTTGGGGGCCTGTTCCCAACACCAGAGATTTCCCCAAACAGCAGATGACTTTGTTAGTCTCAAGGACAGACTGCCTCAGCGGACCTCTGCTCCCTGCCCACGATCATTACCCCCAAAACATGCCGGCAAGTCTCTGCTCCCTGCGTCGGCAGAGGGATTTATAAGCCCTCTCTTATAAATCCTGGTTTAGCCTTTGTTTTGTGACTGAGTCCACCGAGATCCTTGCAGGAGAAGAAAATTTGCAGGCAAATGAACTAAATGTCTCTTCCTGACACTCCCCTTCTGGGGGGCTGAGGAAGCTGTGAACAGCCTGGTTTGTCACACAGCATGATGGCCACCACACTGAAGCAGCAGCAAGCAGATTCATGGAAGGTGTGCTGAGAACCAGCCACCTGGGAGCCCTACTGTCCCTGGGTATCCTCTGGCTTCTGGCTGCAAAGCTGGTCTTTTTTTTTTTTTTTTTCATTGATATAGGGTCTTGCTTTCTCACCCAGGCTGGAGTGGTGGTGAAATCACGGCTCACTGCAGCCTCAACCTCCTGGTCTCAGGCAATCCTCCCACCCAAGCCTCCTGAGTAGCTGGGACTACAGGCGGCACCACCATGCCTGGCTAATTTTTTAAAAATTATTTGTGGAGACGGTTTCACTATGTTGCCCAGGCTGGTCTTGAACTCCCGAGCTCCAGTGATCCTCCCACCTCGGCCTCCTGAAGTGCTGGGATTCCACAGGTGTGAGCCACTGCACCTGGCTGCAAGGCTGGTCTTGACTGACAACGTCAGGCAGTAGTCCAGTCGCTAGGACAGACGGATCCTGACCCTCACACTGGAGTGGGTCACAAGGGCGCCATAGTGCCCCACCCAGGAACTCACGTCTCTCCCGTACTGCTCAAAAGATACGTAGCGGATGCCCTTGCCAAAGTTGGTGAAGACGTGGGAGACCTGCAGGGGGAAGGGGAGTGAGAGGGTGAGGGCCTGCGGGCCCCTTCTCTTCCTCCACTTCAACAGATAGGCCCAAAGGACTGAGGAGGTGCCAGTCCTGCGCTAGTTTGCTGGGGACGGAGCAGTGAATAAAACCGGAAAAGGACCCCGCCCTGGTGTCAGTGCCATTCTAGCAGGGGGCCCAGACACTGGAGATAGGTGGGGGTGAGGGGCCAGGGGCATTCTGCCAGGAAGGTGGCAGGAATGTGAGTAGAGTGAGTTAGCAAAGGCCCCACAGAGGTGACACCTGAAGGAGGAGAGGGAGCCGGGAGGGGCTCTGGAGGGTGTCCCAGGCAGCAGGAACGGCCCGCGCAAAGGCCCTGAGGTGGGAGAATGCCTGGAGCTGAGTGAGGGGAGAGGTAAGAGAGGGGTCAGGGAGGTCATGGGCAGATCATGGCCTTGTGGGCCACAGGAGGACTTTGGCTTTTTTTTTTTTTCCAATTTAAAAAAGTTGAGATAAAATTTTCGTAAAACAAACTTTTTATTTATTTATTTATTTTTGAGATGGAGTCTCACTCTGTCGCCCAGGCTGGAGTACAGTGGCATGATTTTGGCTCAATGCAACCTCCACCTCGCAGGTTCAAGCGATTCTCCTGTCTCAGCCTCCCGAGTAGCTGGGATTACAGGCGCGCACCACCATGCCCGGCTAATTTTTGTATTTTTAGTAGAGACGGGGGTTTTGCCATGTTGGTCAGGCTGGTCTTGAACTCCTGACCTCAGGTGATCCACCCGCCATGGTCTTCCAAAGTGCTGGGATTACAGGTGTGAGCCACTGCGCCCAGCCAAAATTTACCATTTTATTTTATTTATTTATTTTGAGGCCAAGACTCGCTCCATCGCCCAGGCTGGAGTGCAGTGGCATGATCTCAGCTCACTGCAACCTCCACCTCCCCCGGTTCAATAAATTCTCCCGCCTCAGTCTCCCCAGAAGCTGGGATTACAGACGCCCATCACCGTGCCTGGCTAATTTGTGTATTTTTAGTAGAGACAGGGTTTCACTGTGTTGGCAGGCTGGTGTTGAACTCCTGCCCTCAAGTGATCTGTCCGCCTTGACCTCCCAAAGTGCTGAGATTACAGGCATGAGCCACCACACCCGGCCCAAAATTCATTTTTTAAAGTGTACAATTCAGTGGTTTTTAGTTGATTCACGATATTATGCAGCCATCACCACTACCTAATTCCCATCACCCCAGGAAAAAACTCTGCATCCATGAGCTGTCATTTCCAAGACCTCCCTCCCCCAGCCCCTGGCAGTCGCCAATCTTCTTAGTGTACATTTCATATATGTGGAATCATACAGTATTTGTCATTTCATGTCTGGCCTCTTTCAGCATCATGTTTTCAGTTTATCCACGTTGCAGTGTGAATTCATGCTTCATTTCTTTTCCGTGGCTGCATAACTTTGGCTTTTACTGTGAGATGTAGCCACAGGAGCATTACAAGCAGTGAGACTTCTGATCTGACTCATTATTATTATTATTATTATTATTATTTTTAGTTAGCGTCTCAGTCTGTTGCCCTGGCTGGAGTGCAGTGGGACCAACTGGGCTCCAACCATCCTCCCACCTCAGCCTCCTGAGTAGCTGAGACTGCAGGTGCAAGTCACCATGCCCGTCTAATTTTTAATTTCTTTGTAGAGATGGAGGTCTCGCTATATTGCCCAGGCTGGCCTCAAACTCCTGCCCTCAAGCTGTCCTCCCATCTTGGCCTCCTAAAGTGGTGGGATTACAGGTATGAGCCACTGTGCCCAGCCGAAACATTTACTTTGGTAACTGAGGTGTGAGGATCAAGACAGCATAGTCTTGGTGCCAGATTGGGCTTGAGTCCAGCTCTGCACTGGACCAGTCACATAACCTCCCTGTCTGTGCCTCTGTTTCCTCAACTCTAGAATGGAGATAGGATTTTGCTTCACTGCTGCATTTCCAGCACATAGAGTGGTGCCCAGCACACAGTAGGTGCTCAATCAGTGTTTGTTGAACATTAAGGGGTTTTGCTAATGAAATGAATCGATATGTAAGCGTCTTGACACAGGGCTTGGGATGTAAGAAGGGCTCGATACTTCTTAGCTGTTATGATTATAGATATCCAGGAGTGACAGAAGGGAAACCGAGCAGACGAGAGGCTGGGCGTGTGTGCCTTTAGCGGGTCGGGGGGAGCTGGAAGCTAGTCTGGACCCACCTGTCGGCAGCCCCTCTCAGTCCACTGAAGGACCGGGTCAGGTGAGGCTGAGAACTTGACCACTTCCTTTTCATACACATCCAGAAGGCGGACCCGGAGCTGGTAGACGCAGCCGCAGTTCTCTCGAGCGCCCCACCTGCCAGGCAGCAGTCAGCCTCTATGCCCCCGTCACCCAGCCAGCTCTCTGGGTTTCGGGGCGGGAGGCTGAGGGCTGGCTCCATCTTGATGAAGGTCCTGCACATCTGGACCACATTTGGAGACGTCCTGGCCTGGGAACCTCTAGGGGAGGAGCCTTGGTGGTTCTGGGGTGGAACCAGAGCCTGGCGGAGGAGCCTGGGTGGTCCTGGGGAGGAGCCAGAGCCTGGGGGAGGAGCCTGGGTGGTCCTGGGGTGGAGCCAGAGCCTGGGGGAGGAGCCTGGGTGACCCTGGGGTGGAGCCAGAGCCTGGGGGAGGGTCCTGGGTGGTCCTGGGGGAGGAGTCTGGGTGGTCCTGGAGTGGAGCCAGAGCCTGGGGGAGGGGCCTGGGTGGTCCTGGGGGAGGAATCTGGGTGGTCCTGGGGTGGAGCCAGAGCCTCGGGGAGGGGCCTGGGTGGTCCTGGGGGAGGAGTCTGGGTGGTCCTGGGGTGGAGCCAGAGCAGGGGAGGAGCCTGGGTGGTCCTGGGGGAGGAGCCTGGGTGGTCCTGGGGTGGAACCAGAGCCTGGGGGAGGGGCCTGGGTGGTCCTGGGGGAGGAGCCTGGGTGGTCCTGGGGTGGAACCAGAACCTGGAGGAGAAGCCTGGGTGACCCTGGGGTGGAGCCAGAGCCTGGGGGAGGAGTCTGGGTGGTCCTGGGGTGGAGCCAGAGCAGGGGAGGAGCCTGGGTGGTCCTGGGGGAGGAGCCTGGGTGGTCCTGCGGTTGATTCTGGAGGCTTTTGGGTAGGTAGTTGGGGGACGGGAAAGGATGCTCTGGGGAAGAACCACAATGCAGGGCAGGTGCCTGATGACTTCAGGGAAGAGCCAGAGCCCCAGGGAAGAGACCAGATTTTCTATGGAAGAGCCACAGCCTGAAGGAGGAGCTGGAATGCTTTGGGGCAGAACCTGGGTGTTTTGGGAAGAAGGCATTCATCCTAAGCCTGTAGGCTCTGAAGCCAGTCCTGTCCCAACTATGCTCCCTGAGCCTCAGCTCACAGGGCACCATGCTCCCACCCCTTCAGAGACCCTGGGCATCCACAAGGTGGTCAGGGGAGGTGTCTCGTTTCAGAGGGGTATCAAGCCAGTCAGTGGCCCCCTGTGGACCACCCCAGCCTGCTGGGATGAGGGTGGGCAGGAGTGCAGAGTGGGGGCTCTGGCTTCTCCAAAGCTCTACCTTCCCCGGCTCTGCATCACTTCCCCTCTCAGCCTCATCACAAAGGGTGCACAGTGACAGCCGCTACCCGTGGGGTTGATGGGGCGGGAAATGAGCCCCTGTTGCAGAGCCGCTGCCAAGCCTGCTGCTGCTCTGGGGCAGGGTGCCGCTCCTCACTCACCAGTCAGCCACACAGATCTCAATCTGGGCGCTGTCCAGCAGCTCCTGCCACACCCCTTCCATCACCAGGTCCACAAGCTGCCTCTTGGAGCACCATCTGGGAAGGAGAGATGGCAGGGGGCAGGGCAAACAGTCCTGGCATTCAAGTCACAGTCAGAAGCCACCTCCTCCAAGAAGTCTCCCTTGATAACCCTCTCTAAAGCAGCCCTCAGGGTTTGCTCTAGCAGACCTGAAGATGCATGATGGGCTATACATCTCTCCTTGGCCTCTTGGAGTCCCTTTGCCATTCTCCACCCTGCTGCGGGCTCCAGGCAGCTGACCTCTATGAAAGCCTGACCCTCATCTTTGTGGGACAGGACATGACTACAAATGAAGGCCACATACTAGACATGTGAGCGGGGAGCTCTGTGGCCTCCTAAAGTGTGAGGGCCCCGGGTCTAAAGCTGGACAGCCTTGTCTCTGTCACCCATTGCTTCCTGTTGGATCAGCCAATGGGATGCTCCGGCAGGGGATGGAAGTGAAAGAGGTGACTAAAATCAGGGTATTTATCCTCTTAGGTCCTTCTCAAGGGACTGCCTTGTCCCCCAAGGAAAAAGCAAATCTCCATGGCACTCTCTCCTCATTTTCCAGTAACTGTTTCCTCCCCTCACCTCTAGCAGTCTAGGGGTGGTAACGTTCCTTTCCTAACTGTTACTAGCTCAGGGGCTCCTGCCTACAACTTTGTAAACAGTCCTTCTCCTCAAACTAGAATGTGCCATAATAACATAAATTGTGCAGTATTGGTGGAAGGATGGGTAAGTTGAGCAATGGAATAGAACAAAGTGCCAGGAACCGGCTGAGCGCGGTGGCTTAGACCTGTAATCCCAGCACTTTGAGAGCCCGAGGCAGGCGGATCACCGGAGGTCGGGAGTTAGAGACGAGCCTGGTCAATATGGTGAAACCTCTTCTCTACAAAAAATACAAAAATTAGCCAGGCATGGTGGCGCACCTCTGTAGTCACAGCTATTCGGGAGGCTGAGGCAGGAGAATCATTGGAACCCAGGGAGGCAGAGGCTGCAGTGAGCCAAGATTGCGCCACTGCACTCTAGACTGGGCAACAAAATGAGACTCTATCTCAAAAAACAAAAACAAAAACAAAAAAAACAGAGTGCCAGGGACAGACGTAGGTATACACAGAAACTTCATAAACTGTAGAGGTGGCACCATCATTCCATGGAGAACAGATTCTCATTTTTTCTTTTCTTTTGAGTCAAGGTCTTATTCTGTTGCCAGGCTGGAGTGCAGTGGCATGATCCTAGGCTCACTGCAACCTCAAACTCCTGGGCTCAAGAGATCCTCCCACTTCGGCCTCCCAAAGTGCTGGGATTACAGCTATGAGCCACCGTGCCCGGCCTTCAGTTTCCTGTTATAAAGTGGGGGCAATAATAGTATCTATGTCACAGGGTTGTTGCCAGAATTATATGTAAAGTGTCTAGTATAGAGTAACTCCTTGTGGAGGCAAAAGCGACTCCATCTTGGGTGCTAATCTGCCATGTTCCCTTTTTTTTTTTTTTTGAGACAGAGTCTCATTCTGTCGCCCAGGCTGGAGTGCAGTGGTGCAATCTCGGCTCACTGCAACATTTGCCTCCTGGGTTCAAGCGATTCTCCTGCCTCAGCCTCCACGTCCAGCTAATTTTTGTCTTTTTAGTAGAGACGGGGTTTCCCCCTGTTGGCCAGGCTGGTCTCGCACTCCTGACCTAAAGTGATCTGCCCACCTCGGGCTCTCAAAGTGCTGGGATTACAGGCGAGAGCCACCGTGCCCGGCCCAAAACCCTGTCTTTAGATCAAAGCTGTCTTGCTGTTGTCTCACAAACTGCAGGCGATGATGCACAGAGCATTGCTGCCTGTGGTTGCTAACCTTCCTGATCTTTCCTTGTATCCCTGGCATATGAAACAGTACCCTCAACAAGTATTTGTTGATTGATGGAATGAATCAATGAATAAATAAATGGGGGAAGGAGAGGGTGAAGGTGACGATGAGGACAGTGTGGGGGGTAGGGTCCCTTTCTTTGGGGCCTTTGCCCCAGGGATCGGGGCCTCTCACTTGGGCCACTCACTCGAAAGAGGTCACGAAGCAGGTCTGCGAAGGAGCCCCAGGCACCGGTGTTAGGTTCTTTTCTATGGCCCAGCCGTTCCCGCCATGCTCCACCTCCCAGCCTCTGAAGCCCTCTGTGGGAAAACAAGAGTTGAACATATGGTTCACCTGCCAGCCTGCCCAGAAGAGACCCCGCAACCAGCCAGCTTGTGCTGTCCACCAGCCTCTCCCTCTTGTGCTCCAATCCTCCCTGGTTTCTCCTACCGACTCCTCCTCCCATTATTCTGTATTCCTGGTCCTACCCCACAACTGTGACTCTCAGCGGTGCCCATCCACTCAGCTTCTCTTCAGCCACCCTTACTTGCTCTTTCTCCTTCAGTCCTGCTCTTCATTGTGTGTGTGAGAGACAGGGTCTCACTCTGTCGCCCAGGCTGGAGTGCAGTGGCTCCATCATAGCTCACTGCAGCCTCAAACTCCTGGGCTCAAGCGATCCTCCCACATCAGCCTCCAGAGTAGCTAGGACCACAGGTGCATGCCACCACGCCTGGCTAATTTAATTTTTTAATTTTTTTTTGAGATGGAGTTTCAATCTTGCTGCCCAGGCTGGAGTGCAATGGCATGATCTCAGCCCACTGTAACCTCCGCCTCCCAGGTTCAAGCAATTTTCCTGCCTCAGCCTCCCAAGTAGCTGGGATTACAGGCGTGCACCACCACACCTGGCTAATTTTGTATTTTAGTAGAGATGGGGTTTCACCATGTTGGTCAGGCTGGTCTTGAACTCCTGACCTCAAGTGATCTGCCCCCTCGGGCCTCCCAAAGTGCTGGGATTACAGGCGTGAGCCACTGCGCCTGGACTAATTTTTAAATTTTTTAGAGACAGAGTCTCACTTTGTTGTTCAGGCTGGTCTCAAACTCCTGGCCTCAAGCGATCCTCCCACCATAGACTCCCAAAATGCTGGGATTACAGGCGTGAGCTACTGCACCCCACCATTTTTTTTTTTTTTTGAGACAAGGTCTCTGTCACGCAGGCTGTAGTGCAATGGCACGATCATAGCTCACTGCAGCCTTGAACTCCTTGGGCTTAAGCGATCCTCCTGCCTTGGCCTCCCAAAGCGTTGCCATTCCCACCGCGCCTGGCCCCTGTCCTGTTCTGCATCCCCTCTGCATACCAAACTACTTGCTTTCTCCCCCGGCCCAGCCAGGGTCTTCCTGCCTTGCCCCGCCCACTCGTTCGGATTCCCGGCTTCACCTTCTCCAGCCCCGCCCACCGGGCCTACCGCCCAGGCACTGCGTCCCTCAGCCCCGCCCCCTGGCTCCTCCAGCGGTCTCGCCCATTGGCTACATCTCTCAGACTCTGTCCCGGCCCCGCCCCCGCCTCGCTCGCGCGGCCCCCCTCAGCCTCCTGGGCCCCGCCCCCGTCACCCACGCTCTCCGCAGGAGTTGAAGATGAGATTGCGGCCGAAGGGCGCGCGCAGACAGTAGCGCGCCAGGGCGCACAGCGGGAACTCCTCCTTGTCTTCGTTGCTGGGCAGGCAGCGTTGAGCCACTGCGTAGAGTGCGCGGCCCTCGGCGCTGCGGTCGCGGGCCAGCTGCAGCAGCCACACAGTGGGCCCGTCCACTATGTCGCGCCAGGCGCGGCACACTGGGCGGCATCGCGTGACCAAGGAGCGTGGCGGCACGTGGCTCAGCACCTGCACCAGCAGCTCCGGGGGCAGCGCGTCCAGGGCCAGGGATGGGTCCGCCGGCAGCCGTCGCCGCGATAGCCGGGCGCCCATCTCCAGTAGCCAGAGTCCTGCAGGTCGAGAGGGGTCGGTAGGCGGGTCAGCGCAGCCAGGCCACCCCCTCCCTACCTTGTCCCCCAGGGCGCAAGGCCCCTGCTGCTCGAGAGACCCCATTAGGTCCATGGGCAACCAGGGACCCATTTCCCTCTCTGATCCTAGGCCTTTCCCAATCTTCCCCACTTGGGTAAAAGACCCCTGGTCTGACTCTGACCCCCGTCAGGACCGCTGATCACGGCTTCCGTCTGGCGTTCAATTGTGTCAGGCTAAGCGCTTCAGGTATATGACCAGTGAAATGGCAAAAGAACTAACATAACTAACCCCATTTTTGTTTAAGGGGACTTTACCCATTCCTGCACATGGCTAGGTTAATTTTAGACCGCTGAGATAATATGCAAAAACAGCAATCATGTAGTTTTTAAAACTAACTCTGGGATTAAAGAAGTATGTAAACAACTATGTTTTGTCAAAGATTTTTTTTTTTTGAGACACAGTCTTGCTCTGTTGCCCAGGCTAGAGTGTGCAGTGGCACGATCTTGGCACATTGCAACCTCCGCTTCCTGGGTTCAAGCGATTCTCCTGCCTCAGCCTCCCGAGTAGCTGGAACTACAGGCGCCCGCCACCACGCCCGGCTAATTTTTGTATTTTTAGTAGAGACGGGGTTTCACCATCTTGGCCAGGCTGGTCTCGAACTCCTGACTTCGTGATCCACCCACTTCGGCCTCTCAAAGTGCTGGGATTACAGGTGTGAGCCACCACGCCCAGCCTGTTTTTTCAAAGATTTATAGGGGCATTGTGACCCAACCAAGGACAAAGAAGTCATCAACCTCCTCGGACCCTAGCTGGCACTCAGATGTCTGCAGTGGTCACCTCCTTATTTTTATTATTATTACTTTTTTATGGAGCTAGAAACCAGGACTATAGCCTCTACCTCCTGGGCTCGAGTGATCCTCCTGCCTCAGCCTCCCAAGTAGCTGGGACTATAGGTGCATGCCACTATGCCCAGCTAGTTTTTTATTTTATTTATTGTTTTGTAGAGATGGGGTCTCACTACATTGCCCTGGCTGGTCTTGAATTCCTGGGTTCAAGTGATCCTCCTGCCTCAGCCTCCCAAAGTGCTGGAATTGGTATGAGTCACTGCGCCTGGCCTGTTGGTCACCTCTTGATCACAATGCCCTTCTCTTCCCTCTGCCCCTAAAAAAAAAAAAAATTGTACTGATTTAAGATGGTACTTTAGGATGATAGTCCACTGTGTTCTCGGTTTGCTGGCTCTCCAAATAAACTTGCTTTTCCTCCCACCAACTGTCATCTCTCTTGAGTTTGGCTTTCTATTTTTTTTTTTTTTTTTGAGGCAGCCTCACTCTGTCACCCAGGCTGGAATGCAGTGGCCCGTCTCGGCTCACTGCAACCTCTGTCTCCCAGGTTCAAGTGATTCTCCTGCCTCAGCCTCCCGAGTAGCTGGGACTACAGGAATGCACCACCACACCTGGCTAATTTTTGTATCTTTAAGGAGAGACAGTTTCACCATGTTGGCCATGCTAGTCTCGAACTCCAGACCTCAGGTGATCCACCCACCTCGGCCTCCCGAAGTGCTGGGATTATAGGCTTGAGCCACCACGCTCGGCCCGAGTTTGGCTTTCTTTTCTGAAACCGAGTCTTACTCTGTTGCCCAGGCTGGAGTGCAGTGGCACAATCTTGGCTCACTGCGACCTCCGCCTCCCGGGTTCAAGCGATTCTCCTGCCTCAGCCTCCCAAGTAGCTGGAATTACAGATGTGTGCCACCACACCGAGCCAGTAATTTCTGTAGTAGAGATGGGGTTTCACCATGTTAGCCGGCTGGTCTCAAACTCCTGACCTCAAGTGATCCACCTGTCTCAGCTTCCCAAAATGCTGGGATTTCAGGCGTGAGCCACCACGCCTGGCCTGAGTTTGGCTTTTGAGTGTTGAGCGGCCAAACCTCAGTCGGGTTACAGACCCACAAGGAAACCCACTGCGGAAGAAACCATTTCTACCCCATACCCCAATGTGTGCCAGCTACTGTGACCTTTGGAACCCATGACCCATCTTCAACAAAATCTCTTCTTGCCTCAGTTACTTCTCTGAACATTCCTACCACCTTCTTGCTCTAACTGGAACCCAGCTCTCCTGTGGGCCTTCCAAGTGGGGAGGTCTCCGTGCTCCTGGGAGCTACTTCCTGACCATTCTCCCTCCACCCTCCCCAAAACCCCCAGCGATGAATCTCATCACTACCTTGCTTCATGCGTCATCTGCTGACCCAGATCATGACTCCTCTCTTCTCCCTAATTTTAGCTCTGGGCTCACGGCCGCTCCCGCTGCTCTTAGCATCATTCTCAGTGATTTCTATAACCAGATAGTTCTTCCGCAGCCCCAACCTCTCTGTTCCCTGACCTCTCTCTAGTGACTTTTTCCTTCCCCAACATCTCCCTCTCGTGGTCAAACCCAGACCTTGTTTGAATAACAGCAGCCTCTTCAGAACCTCAATCTCACACTCACTCTCCACCCATCACTTTTTCTTTCCACCTCATTCCCTCCAGTGCCCCACTCGCATGATCCTTCCAACCCACTGTGATCTCCCATCCGTTGTCCCTTTCATATTTTACTCCCCCTCACCCTCCCATGCCCTCATTTCTTCCTTAGCCAGCTTAAATTCCATGGTTAATCATTAAAAACATTCTTGACCTGGCACGCTGGCTCATGCCTGTAATTCCAGCACTTTGGGAGGGCAAGGTGGGAGGACTGCTTGAGGCCAGGAGTTTGAGATCAGCCTGGGCAACACAGCGATACTCCACCTGTACAAAAAATAAAATGAAAAAATTAGCCGGGTGTGGTGGTGCACACCTGTAGTCCCACCTACTCCAGAGGTTAAGGTGGGATGATCGCTGGAGCCCGGGAGTTGGAGGCTGCAGTGAGCTATGATTATGCCACTGTACTCCAGCCTGGGCAACAAAGCGAGACCCTGTCTCTAAATAAAATAAAAAGAATAGCAAAAAAAGTGGGGCTGTAGCTAGAAGGGGAGGTGAAGTCAAGAGAGGGTTTGGGCTGGGCACGGTAGCTCACACCTGTAATCCCAGCACTTTGGGAGGCTGAGGTGGGCAGATCACTTGAGGTCAGTAGTTTGAGACCAGCCTGGCTAACATAGTGAAACCCCATCTCTACTAAAAATACAAAAATTAGCTGGGTGTGGTGGCGCACCTGTAATCCCAGCTACTCGGGAGGCCAAGGCAGGAGAATTGCTTGAACCCAGGAGGCAGAGGTTGCAATGAGCTGAGATCGCACCACTGCACTCCAGCCTGGGCGGCAAAGTGAGACCCTGTCTCAAAACAAAACAAAAACAAAAACAAAAAAAGAGAGAGGGTTTGTTTTGAGATGGGAGACAGGATGCTGTGTGGGCTAACAGGAGATCCAGTGCATGGGGGAAACTGAATGAGCAGCAGAGAGAGGTGAGAACCAGGGACGGTGGCTGGAAGTGGGCGGGAAGGTGGGAGCAGGTGATGGGACAGTCACAGCAGGAGAACGGGTGTGGGCAAGGGTGCAGGTAGGTGGTAGAGGCGGGGGTGGCTGTGGAAGTTCACTTCTCATCTCTTGCATTTTCTCTGCAAAATAAGAAGCCAAGGGAGAGTGAAAGGGGGGGAGGAGGTGTTGGAAAGGATTAGAGGAGAAGGGAAAAGGTGTGAATTAGTTGTCTAGAAGACAGGAGGAAGGAGGGGATCAGAGAAATGTCATATGGCTGCCAGGCAGCATTGGGGTCCGCCTGAGGGTCAAGTTCACAGACTTGAAATTAGCCTGGCCAGGGGGCTGTGTTGTTTTTTAGCTCACTCAAGCTGTGTGGGTGCAGGCACGGCAGAGAGGAAGGCTGGATTTAACCAGGGTCTCATGCAGGAGGAAGCCAAAGTGGGCAAGGGTGTGTGCAGAGAATGTGTTATTTTTTATTTATTTACTTTTTTGAGATGGAGTCTCGATCTGTGGCCTAGGCTGGAGTGCAGTGGCGCGATTTCAGCTCACTGCAACCTCCACCTCCTGGGTTCAAGCGATTCTCCTACCTCAGCCTCCCAAGTAGCTGGGATTACAGGCCTCTGCCACCACGCCTGGCTAATTTTTATATTTTTAGTAGAGACAGGGTTTCACCATGTTGGCCAGGCTGGTCTCGAACTCCCGAACTCAGGTAATCCACCTGCCTCAGCCTCCCAAAGTGCTAGGATTACAGGTGTGAGCCACTGCGCCGGGCCGAGAATGTGTTTTTTTTTTTTTTTTTTGAGACAGAGTTTCACTCTTGTTGCCCAGGCTGGAGTGCAGTGGCGCGATCTCAGCTCACTGCAGCCTTCACCTCCCAGGTTTAAGCAATTCTCCTGCCTCAGCCTCCTGAGTAGCTGGGATTATAGGCGCCCGCCACCACACCTGGCTAATTTTTATATTTTTAGTAGAGACAGGGTTTCACCATGTTGGCCAGGCTGTTCTCAAACTCCTGACCTCAGGTGATCCGCCCACCTCAGCCTCCCAAGGTGTTGGGATTAACAGGCGTGAGCCACTGCGCCTGCCCTGACAATGTGTTATTTTATTATTATTATTATTATTATTATTATTATTATTATTATTATTATTATTTTTGAGACGGAGTCTTGCTCTGTTGCCCAGCCTGGAATGCAGTGGTGCGATGTCGGCTCACTGCAAGCTCCGCCTCCTGGGTTCACGCCATTCTCCTGCCTCAGCCTCCCGGGTAACTGAGACTACAGGCGCCCACCACCATGCCCAGCTAATTTTTTTGTATTTTTAGTAGAGACGGGGTTTCACCATGTTAGCCAGGATGGTCTCGATCTCCTGACCTCATGATCCGCCCGCCTTGGCCTCCCAAAGTGCTGGGATCACAGGCGTGAGCCACTGCAACTGGCCTTTTATTTTTATTTTTGAGACAGGGTCTTGCTTCTTCACTCGGGTGGGAGTGCAGTGGTGTGATCATGGCTCACTGCAGCCTCAACCTCCCAGGCTCAAGTGATCCTCCCACCTCAGCCTCCCAAACTGCTGGGATTAGAGGCATGAGTCACCGCATGCAGCGTCTTTGTTTCTCTTTGTGGTAAAACTTCTCAAAAGAGCTGTCTACCCAGTATTTTCTGCTTCCATTCTTTCTAAAACATTTTCTTTCTTTCTTTTTTTTTTTTTTTTTGAGACAGAGTCTCCCTCTGTCACCCAGACTGGAGTGCAGTGGCACAATCTCAGCTCACTGCAACCTCTGGCTCCCAGGTTCAAGTGATTCTCGTGCCTCAGCCTCCTGATTAGCTGGGACTACAGGTGCGTGCCACCAGGCCCTGCTTATTTTTGTATCGTTAGTAGAGACAGGGTTTCACCATGTTGCCCAGGCTGGTCTTAAACTCTTGGGCTCAAAGGATCCTGCTGCCTTGGCCTCCCAAAGTGCTGGGATTATAGGTGTGAGCCACTGTGCTCGGCTCCAGCTCCACTTCTTGCTATAAATTATATGACCAATGGCAAGTCACTTAATCTCTTTATACCTCAGTTTCCCTTTCTGAAAATGGGGCTGCTAACGGTGCCTCCATCATAGGGCTGTTGTGAGGATGAAATGAGTATTTTAAAGCACTTAGGAAAAGCCCCTGTAGGCTCCTAAATAAGAGTGATATTAATTTAATATTAGTCCAGGCATGGTGGCTCACACCTGTAATCCCAGCACTTTGGGAGGCTTAGGTGAGCGGATCACCTGAGGTCGGGAGTTCAAGACCAGCCTGGGCAACATGGCGAAACCCCATCTCTACAAAAAATACAAAAAGTAGCGGAGCGTGGTGGTGGGCACCTGTAATCCCAGCTACTCAGGAGGCTGAGGCAGGAGAATCACTTGAACCCGGGAGGTGGAGGTTGCAGTGAGCTGAGATCGTGCCTCTGCACTCCAGCCTGGGCGATAGACTGAGACTCTGTCTCAAAAAAAAAAAAAAAAGATGATGTCAGGAATTTTTGCTACATTCATGGACTACTTGCCTGACACAGGCTTATTTCTTTTTTTTAAGTAAAACCTTAATTTGTTTAAAAATGACAATAGCTGACATGAATTGAGCACTTATTGGGCACATGAAGATAACAAGCATTAGATCATTAAAGCCTCTTAACCAAGGGCATCCTCAAAGGAGAGTTTTGCCCATTAAACAAGATGATAGAATTCATGAGCTGATCCAGCTTAAATGCTCAGCACCGTGGCTTAATAAGGGCCAATAAATGCCACTAAATGAAAATGTCACAGCTAAAATAGTTGCTGTCAGCCAGGCACAGTGGCTCATGCCTGTAATCCCAGCATTTTGGGAGGCGGAGGTGGGTGGATCACTTGAGGTCAGGAGTTCAAGACCAGCCTGGCCAACATGGTGAAACCTGTCTCTACTAAAAATACAAAAATTAGCCAGGCATGGTGGTGGGAGCCTGTAATCCCAGCTACTCAGGAGGCTGAGGCAGCAGAATCGCTTGAACCTGGGAGGTGGAGGTTGCAGTGAGCCAAGATCATGCCACTGCACACAGCGAGACTCTGCCTCAAAATAAATAAATAAATAAAATAGTTGCTGTCACTTTTTAAAAATGATGTGTCATAATAATGGCAACTAACATAATTTAGTGTTTCACATTAATTTTTAAAATATTAATATTAATTTTCACAGGTGTGAGCCACCATGCCCAGCCTCTGACATCATCTTTATTCCTACCGCAGAAAGAATGAAGCTGTGGAGACAGACTTTACAAAGACCAAGCTGTGCTTTTCTCCAGGTGGTTCTGAGTTGCATTAATAGTTCACTGAGGCCCGGCGCTTGAACCCGCGAGGTGGAGGTTGCAGCGAGCAGAGATCACATCACTCACTGCACTTCAGCCTGGGTGACAGAGCGACTCTGTCTCAAAAATAAATAAATAAATTCCCTAGGTTTATAAACAAGTCTACCAGTCTGCCTGGCATGGGTGTGATGTGCACCAGAGTTTAGTTTCCTGGAGTTCTTCTTAGGAGGAGTTCTTAGTTCCCACTCTTCTTCTTTTTTGTTTTTTTGAGACGGAGTCTCACTCTGTCGCCCAGGCTGGAGTGCAGTTGCATGATCTCGGCTCACTGCAACCTCCGCCTCCCGGGTTCAAGCGATTCTCTGCCTCAGCCTCCCGGGTAGCTGGGATTACAGGCACCTGCCACCACGCCTGGCTAACTTTTGTATTTTTAGTAGAGACAGGGTTTCACCATGTTGGCCAGGCTGGTCTTGAATGCCTGACCTTGTGATCCGCCCGCCTAGGCCTCCCAAAGTGCTGGGATTACAGACTTGAGCCACTGCGCCCGGCAGTTCCTGTTCTTCTTAGGAGTGTGTTCCCACTGGCAAAAGGAGGATCTCTGGGGCTAGGGGTAGGCCCCTCGCCCAACAAGGGCAGCCAGACTTCACCAAGGAGCAGAGATGTTCAAGAAATGTACTGAATGAGCCCTCAGCTATCCACACAAACCATATTAAATGCTTGTATGGGGCCCCAGTGTGGTGGCTTACGCCTGTAATTCCAGCACTTTGGGAGGTGGAGGCGGGAGGATTGCTTGAGCCCAGGAGTCCAAGACCAGCCTAGGCAACATGACGAAACCCTCTCTCTACAAAAGAAATACAAAAAAATTAGTCAGGCATAGTGTCATGCACCTGTAGTCCCAGCTACTTGGGAGCTGAGGGGAGAAGGATCACCTGAGCCAGGGAGGTTGAGGCTGTGGTGAATCGTGAAGGGGCCACTGTATTCCAGCCCAGGCAATAGAGTGAGATCCTGCCTCAAAAAAAAAAAAAAAAAAGTTTGTGGCCAGTCACAGTGGCTCATGCCTGTAATCTCAGCACTTTGGGAGACCAAGGTGGGTGGATCACCTGAGGTTAGGGGTTTGAGAGCAGCCTAGCCAACATGGTGAAACCCGTCTCTACTAAAAATACAAAATTAGCCAGGTGTGGTGGCATGCTCCTGTAGTCCCAGCTACTTGGGAGACTAGTGGGAGAATCCCTTGAACCCAGGAGGTGGAGATTGTGGTAAGCTGAGATTGTGCCACTGCACTCTAGCCTGGGCAACAAGAGTGAAACTGTCTCAAAAAAAAAAAAAAAAAAAAAAGGAAAGAGGAAAGAAACACGAAAAGTGGCTCAACAGTCAAAGACAGGCTTATTTTGGAGAATAAGCCTGAGAGGGGCTTCTGGCCAATTTTGGGAAAGGTTGAAAAGTACCCACTGCAAGATTGAATGCCAACTACTAGCTGGGTCACAATAGGACAAGTAGGGCCTAGTATTGCCTGCTTCCAGGGTTTTTGGGAGAGTGTGTGTTTGGAGGAAGGTTACTGGCTGTCAGAGTGACCGGGGAATGCTATTGGTACTCAGCTACCCAAAGGGACCCAGGATGCTACTACAGCAGACTGTATTTTTCAAAAGTGGCTATGAGAACATTTCCTATCTGACACGCTTTTTCAGTTCACCACTGCTCGTGAAGCTGTGGGGTCCACATTCCTCCCCTGGGCACGTGCAGGCTTTTGCAACTGCCTCAACTTTCAGAGCACTGCAGAAGGGACATTGCTAAGGGATTTCATTCTCTCTCTCTTTCTCTCTCTTTTTAAGAGACAAAGTCTCACTCTGTCGCCTGGTTGGAGTGTAGTGGCGTGATTATGGCTCACTGAAGCCTCGAACTCCTGGGCTCAAGCGATCCTCCCAACTCAGCCTCCTGAGTAGATGGGACTGCAGACACATGCCACCATGCCCAGCTTCGTTTGTTTTATATTTTTTTTTTCTAGAAGTGAGGGGTCTCCCTATGTTGCCCAGGCTGGTCTCTTCCTGGGCTCAAGTGATCCTGTCGCCTTGGCCTCCCAAAGTGCTGGGATTATAGGTAGGAGCCACTGTGCCCGGCCTGCTAAGGGATTTCTGAGGCTGGATCATAAAAGAGTATGCAGCCTCTGCCTGTCTTTCTTTCTTTCTTTCTTTCTTTTTTTTTTTTTGAGACAGAGTCTTCCTCTGTTGCCCAGGCTGGAGTGCAATGGCCCAATCTCGGCCCACTGCAATCTCCACCTCCTGGATTCAAGCAATTGTCCTGCCTCAGCCTCCAGAGTAGCTGGGATTACAGGCACACGCCACCATGCCTAGCTAATTTTTGTATTTTTTTTTTTTTAGTAGAGACGGGATTTCACCATGTTGGCCAGGCTGGTCTCGAACTCTTGACCTTGTGATCAGCCCACCTTGGCCTCCCAAAGTGCTGGGATTCATTAGGCTGTGCAATTTGTGCACTTTCTATAAAAGGTTTGCTAAAAATGAGCTGGGTACCATGGCTTATGCATGTCATCCCAGCACTTTGGGAGGCTGAGGTGGGAGGATCGCTTGAACCCGGGGGTTCGAGACCAGCCTGGGCAACACAGTGAAACCCCATCTCTAAAAAAGTAAACATTAAAAAATTAGCTGGACCTGGTGGTGTACACTTGTAGTACCACATACTCGGGAGGCTGAGGTGAGAGGATTGCTTGTGGCCAGGAGTTCAAGGGTACAGTGAGCTATGATTGCACTACTGCATTCCAGCCTGGGTGACAGAGTGAGACTCTGTCTCCAAAAACAAACAAATAAAAAACACCACCACCACTACCAAAACAGAACACATACCCAAAACCCTCAACGTTTGCTAAAAATGATGAAAACAAGAAAAACAGATATGGCAGTCCATGGAAAGGAACAAAAAGATGTCCAAAAACTTTCCTCAAAGCCATCAAACAAAAGATGTTACTATTTTAAAATAGAAGAATCTGTGAAAATGATTAAGAGTTAGCTTATAAGTATCTCCTCAGCAGATTCTCAAATTGTATAGTTTTTTTGAGGCCAGAGACCTTTTTATACTGACTGGAAAATTCTGCACAAAAAATACCTCTGTGAATCATGATACCAGTTTGTTTTTGGTCTGTCCAGAGTATAATTTTGCCAGAGTATATTTATAATAAGCCATTATTCCTTTTTTTTTTTTATGGCTCTGGGGACTGGGATCAGCTATGCGGTCCTCACTTAGGGAACTTGTGCCTTTGCCGTCAGATGGTGGATGGGGCTGGGTCATCTGAGGCTTCTTCCATCCTAGTCTAGCAGCTGAAGTGAGGAGACCCGAACAGCTGGCGCTCCTTAGACATTTCTCTCTATTTTCACCTGGTCTGTCCAGCTACTTTCGGAAACAAACCAAATAATATCTTTTTTTTGAGACAGAGTCTCGCTCTGTCCCCCAGGCTAGAGTGCAGTGGCACGATCTCGGCTCACTGTAACCTCCGCCTCCCAGATTCAAGGGATTCTCCTGCCTCAGCCTCTCGAGTAGCTGGGATTACAGGTGCGTGCCACCCACACCGGCTAATTTTTGTATTTTTAGTGAAGACAGGGTTTCACATGTTGGCCAGGCTGGTCTTGAACTCCTGACCTCAGGTGAACCACCTGCCTCGGCCTCCCAAAGTGCTGGGACTACAGGCATGAGCCCCTGCACCCGGCCACTTTTTTTTTTTTTTTGATATGGAGTCTTGCTCTGTCGCCCAGGCTGGAGTGCAACGGCATGATCTCCGCTCACTGCAACCTCCGCCTCCCAAGTTCAAGCAATTCTCCTGCCTCAGCCTTCTGAGTAACTGGGATCACAGGTGCGCACCACCACGCCAGGCTGATTTTTTGTATTTTTAGTAGAGACGGGGTTTCACTGTGTTGGCCAGTCTGGTCTCGAACTCCTGACCTCAAGTGATCCTCCCGCCTTGGCCTCCTAAAGTGTTGGGATTACAGGCGTGAGCCACTGCGCATGGCCCAGATAATATACTTTCATCTTCAAGGTTCATTGTATTGAACGGGTTTTACTAACACAGCAGCAGCCTCAATTAACTGTGTTCATTTTATAAAGTATTATTTTTACTTTATTAGTTAAGTTTTATTAATTGTATCTGTTTAAAATGTAGCAATTTTATTTCAATTGATTTTAAATCTTTTTTTTTTTGAGATGGCGTCTTACTCTGTCACCCAGGCTGGAGTGCAGTAGCATGATCTCAGCTCACTGCAATCTCTTCCTCCCAAGTTCAAGCAATCCTTCCGCCTCAGCTTCCCAAGTAGCTGAGATTACAAGCGTGCGCCACCACACCCAGCTAATTTTTATATTTTCAGTAGTGATGGGATTTCACATGTTAGCTAGGCTGGTCTCAAACTCCTGACCTCAGGTGATCCACCCAACTCGGCCTCCCAAAGTGCTGCGATTACAGGTGTGAGCCACCGCTCCCAGCCGATATGGAACATTTCTATTGCCCCAAAAGGTTTATCCCTTCCCAGCCAACCTCCCTACTCCCACCCAAAGTCAACTACTATTCTGTTTTGTTTTGTTTTGTTTTTGAGACGTAGTATTGCTCTGTCCTCCAGGCTGGAGTGCAGGGGCGCGATTTCGGCTCACTGCAACCTCCGCCTTCCGGGTTCAAGAGATTTTTTCTACTTCAGCCTCCGGAGTAGCTGGGATTACAGGTGCGCACCACCACACCCGGCTAATTTCTGTATTTTTAGTAGAGACAGGGTTTCACCATGTTGGCCAGGCTGGTCTTGAACTCCTGAGCTCAAGTGATCCGCCTGCGTCGGCCTCCCAAAGTGCTGGGATTACAGGCGTGAGCCACCGTGCCCGGCTTCTTTCTGTTACTATAAATTCAATTTTTCTTTTCTATAATTTCACGTAAATGGAATCATATAGAGTGTCGGCTATCAACCTACGACCTCATTGTTCTAAGCTGCGAAACTGGAGTTTGGTTCTAGCCCACCCAGGGACGCTGTTAAAAAAAAAAAAAAAAAAAAAAGCTCCGGGAACGGTGGCTTACGCCTGCCTCCTGCCTGGACAAGAAGAGCGAAACTTCGTCTCAAAAAAAAAAAATAAAAAAAAATAAATAATAATTGGAGTTTGGCCCTTTAAATCTTCTTCCTTTGCTGACTGACATGATGCTAAGTTTTTTTCAGTAGAGGGCGCTGGAGAGACGTTGTAGGAGGAAAGGGTTTGGCTTCCAGTTTCCAGACTTGGCTCCTGCAGGGCAGCTACTCCTGCAGCGAGCATGCTTCTCCAGCCTCTGACTCCTACATGCGTGCGGTTTCTTTAGTGTCAGGAAGTTTCTCTGGCACATGGCTCCTGAAATATGGCAGTCAGCAGCACCCACCTCAGCTGAGACACTTCCCTGTCAGCTGCTCTCCCCACCATCTTACTGAATGGACTTCTGCCGCATTCTACTGGTGCCGCACCATAGGGATGCCTTTGTCCTTCGGTGAGCCATGGCCAAGACTACTCCAGCAAGGTCGGGGTCTCAGCCTGGGGCTCTCATCTTTCTCGGGCTATCTTAGACTTAGGAGGAGTGGCTGCTCCTTGTATCTGCTATTTCTTTCTTTCTTTTTTCTTTTTCTTTCCTTTTTTTTTTGAGATGGAGTCTCTCTCTGTCACCCAGGCTGGAGTGCAGTGGCAAGATCTCGGCTCACCGCAACCTCTGCCTCCTGGGTTCAAACTATTCTCCTGCCTCAGCCTCCTTGAGTAGCTGGGACTACAGGCACACGCCACCACGCCCAGCTACTTTTTGTAGTAGGGACGGGGTTTCACCATGTTGGCCAGGATGGTCTCGATCTCTTGACCTCGTGATCCACCTGCCTTGCCTCCCAAAGTGCTGGGATTACAGGTGTGAGCCATTGTGCCCAGTCTATTTCTACATTCGTTAGCATTCTCTTTATTTCTTAGTAACCAGTTCCTCTTACTCAAATCCCCTATCATAGTTAACAATTCTGTATATTAAACAATCGCTGTTTAAATTACTGTGTGGTTTGTCTCCTGGTTGGATCCTGACTGATACACACAGTATGTGTCTCCTTGTGAAGAAGTCATCTGGGCCAGGCACAGTGGCTCATGCCTGTAATATTCCTTGAGTTGTAGGCATGGCTTAGGGTTATTTGTCCTCTCCTTCAGCATAATGTCCGTGTGATTCACTCATACTTTTTTTTTTTTTTTGAGGCAGGGTCTCACTCTGTTGCCCAGGCTGGAGGGCAGTGGCGCCATCATAGCTCACTGCTGCCATGACCTCCCAGGCTCAAGCAATCCTCCCATCTCAGCCTCCCAAGTAGCTGGGACCACAGGTGCACCCCACCATGCCTGGCTAATTTTTAAATTTTTTTTGAGACAGGGTCTTGCTATGTTGCCCAGGCTAGCCTTGAACTCCTGGGCTCAGCGATCTTCCCAGCTTGGCCTCCCAAATTGCTGGGATTACAGGCATGAGCCACCGCGCTTGGCCCATCCACTTGTTGTGTATCAATCAGTAGTCTATTCCTTTTTATTGCTGGGTAATAGTCCACTGAACACATAATCTACAACCTGTTTATCCACTCAGTATGATGGACATTTGGGTTGTTTCCAGCTTAGGGGTATTATGAATAAGGCTGCTATGAATATTCATGTACAAGTGTTTGTGTGGACATATGTTTTCTTTGCTTTTTTTTTTTGGAGACAGAGTCTTGTTCTATCACCAAGGCTGGAGTGCAGTGGTGCAATCTCGGCTCACTGCAACATCCACCTCCCGGGTTCAAGCAGTTCTCCTGCCTCAGCCTCCCAAGTAGCTGGGATTACAGGTGTGCGCCACCACACCTAGTTAATTTTTGTATTTTTAGTAGAGACAGGGTTTCACCATGTTGGCCAGGCTGGTCTCAAACACCTGACCTCAAGTGATCTGCCTGCCTCGGCTTCCCAAAGTGCTGGGATTGTAAGAGTGAGCCATCGTGTCCAGCCATTTTCATTGCTCTTGAGTAGATACTTAGGAGTAGAATTTTTGAGTCACATGGCAGGTGTATATTTAACGTTACAAGAAAATGCCCAGCAGTTTTCCAGCATGATTGTGCCATCTGCATTCCCAAAAATTCTATATGCATTGCAGTTGCCAGCACCTGGTATTGGTATTGTCAATCTTATAAAAAGTTTACACAGAATGGTTTCCTTTTCATACCTTCAGGATACTTTCCTCTACCCGATTCTCCCTTATTAATTTTTGTTTGTTTGTTTGAGACGGAGTCTCACCCTGTCACCCAGGCTGGAGTGCAGTGGCGTGATCTCGGCTCACTGCAACCTCTGCCTCCCAGGTTCAAGCGATTCTCCTGCCTCAGCCTCCCATCCCTTATTAATTTTTAACTATTTTAGCCAGGCATGGTGGCTTATGCCTGTAATCCCAACATTTTGGGAGAATGAGGCAGGGGGATTGCTTGAGGCCAGGAGTTCCAGACCAGCCTGGGCAACATAGCAAGACCTCCATCTCTACAAAATATAAAATTAACCAGACATGGTTGCAAGCGCCTGTAGTCCCAGCTACTCGGGAGGCTGAGGTGGGAGGAGTGCTTGAGCTCAGGAGGTGGAGGCTGCAGTGAACTATGATCACACCACTGTGCTCCAGCCTGGGTGACAGAGTGAGACCCCATTTCAAAGAAAAAAAGAAAAGAAAAAAAAATTGCATGCAGCCCCTGGGAAGTGTGGATGCTGCTGGTGTTACTGAGTAAAGCCCTCCCCATCTGGCATCCGGGAGTGAGCTCCCAGCACAAAGACTGTTTTTGTCCCTGCTAACATGAACAAGTGCTGTCCACAGAACACAGAGTTCACAGTCATCCATCCAACTTGACCAAGAGGCCAGTGGGAAAGGACTGTATTTATAACAGCCCCAAATGTCATACCAGTGACTTAAAAACAAGCAAACAAAAAACCACAGTCACCCAGCCTCTTGTTTGAAAAAGTGGCGGGATAGCAAGGACCATCAGATGTTTAAGAAAACTAGCAGCCTGAAAGAGAAACATTTAAGTAAACAAGCAGAAGGAAAGTGAACTGACCCCAGAGGAAACAGACAATTCACAGGACCAAAAGAACATGGAGGAAAAGAAAAAACCCTAACTGGTACACTCAGGACTGGCTTCATGGGCATGCAACCTGTGCGTTCACATGTGGCCCACCCTCTTTTCAATGCTCCACTGTGGCCATCTCAACATTCTTTTTCTTTTCTTTTTTTTTTTTGAGATGGAGTCTCTCTCTGTCGCCCAGGCTGGAGTGCATGACACAATCTCAGCTCACTGCAACCTCCGCCTCCTGGGTTCAAGTGATTCTCGTGCCTCAGCCTCCTGAGTAACTGGGACTACAGGCGCCCACCACCACATCTGGCTAATTTTAGTATTTTTATTTTTATTTATTTTTGAGATGGAGTTTTGCTCTTGTTGCCCAGGCTGGAGTGCAACAGAATGATCTCAGCTCACTGCAATCTCCACCTCCTGGGTTCAAGCGGTTCTCCAGCCTCAGCCTCCTGAGTAGCTGGGATTACAGGCACGAACCACCAAGCCAGGCTAATTTTTGTATTTTTAGTAGAGACGAGGTTTCGCCATGTTGGCCAGGCTGGTCTTGAACTCCTGACCTCAGGTGATCCACCCACCTCAGCCTCCCAAAGTGCTGGGATTACAGGCATGAGCCACCATTCCCAGCTAATTTTTATATTTTTAGTAGAGACGGGGTTTCACCATGTTGGGCAGGCTGGTCTTGAACTCCTGACCCCAGGCAATCTGCCCACCTCAGCCTCTCAAAATGCTGGAATTACAGGCATGAGCCGTTGCTCCCAGCCTCAACATTCTTTTTATTTATTTATTTTTATTTATTTATTTATTTTTTGAGATGGAGTCTTACTCTGTCACCCAGGCAGGAGTGCAGTGGCGTGATCTTGGCTCACTGCAACCTCCACTTCTGGGTTCAAGCGATTCTCCTGTCTCAGCCTTCCGAGTAGCTGGGACTACAGGTGCGCACTACCACGCCCGGCTAATTTTTGTATTTTTAGTTGAGACAGGGTTTCACCATGTTAGTCAGGCTGGTCTCGAACTCCTGACCTCAGGTGATCCACCCACCTCGGCTTCCCAAAGTGCTGGGATTACAGGCATGAGCCACCATGCCCGGCCAACATTCTCTTAAATTAAAAATTTTGTGTGTGTGTGTGTGTGTGTGTGTGTGGAGATGGGGTCTCACTATGTTGCCCAGGTTGGTCTCAAACTCCTGGCCTCAAATGATTCTCCCGTCTCAGCCTCCCAAAGTGCTAGGATTACAGGCCTCAGCCACCGAGCCTGGCCTCAACATTCTTAATTATTTCTGAACAAGGGACCTTGCATTTTCATTTTGCAATGGGCCATGCAAATTATGTAGCTAGTCCTGGGAACACTTAGATTTGCAAAGATGTTCTAAACAGAGTAAGAACAGGATACTATAAAAGGAAGAATGTCTACAAGAAGAAAAAGAAATCCAAAGAAATGGATTGGATGAGTTACTAACAGAAAAACGCCTCTTTCAAAATGGAAAAATTAAAGCTATGAGAAATTCTAGGAAAAACATAAAACTGTATCTGTGTTACAGCTATTTGATAAAGTTCACAAAAAAGGAATCCTTTTGACCTGGAGGCTAGGGGCATTCTCTTTACATTGGCTTTACTTACGGGTTTTCTTGGGAAAAAGACTCTTTTCAACAAATGGTGCTGGGACAACTGGAAATCTATATGCAAAAAGATGAATTTAGACTATTACCTCATACCAGAATCAACATGAAATTAATCATACATCTAAATTTAAGAGTTAAAACTATAAAACTTTGAGAAGAAAACAGGAGAAAATCTCATGATCTTGTGTTAAGCAGAGATTTTTTAGATCCAACACCAAAAACTATGATTCATAAAAGAAAAACTGGATAAATTAGACATTATCATAAGTTAAAACTTTTGTACTTGCACATTATATATCTGATAAAGCACTTGTGTATAGAATATATAAATAACTCATAAAACTCAATGAGATAAACCAGTTAAAAAATGGACAAAAGGCCGGGCACAGTGGCTCACGCCTGTAATCCCAGCACTTTGGGAGGCTGAGGCAGGTGGATCACCTGAGGTCAGGAGTTCAAGACCAGCCTGGCCAACATGGTGAAACCCTGTCTCTACTAAAAATACAAAAAATTAGCCTGTAATCCTAGCTACACAAGAGGCTGAGGCCGGAGAATCGCTTGAACCTGGGAGGCAGAGGTTGCAGTGAGCTGAGATCACGCCATCGCACTCCAGCCTGGGCAACAAGAGTGAAACTCCATCTCAAAAAAATAAAAATAAAAAAGAAAGAAAGACAAAAGATTTGAGTAGACATTTCACCAAAGAACATATACAAATGAGTAATGAGCACATGAAATGATGCTCCACTTCATTAGTCATTAGGAAAATGCAATTTTTTTTTTTTTTTGAGATATGGTCTTCTCTGTTGCTCAGGCTGGAGTGCAGTGGCACGATCTTGGCTCACTGCAGCCTCAACCTCCTGGGCTCAAGTGAGTCTCCCATTTCAGCCTCCCAAGTAGCTGGGACTACAGATGCACCCACCACCACATTCAGCTAATTGTTGAATTTTCTATAGAGATGGGTCTTCCTATATTGCCCAGGCTGGTCTTGAACTCCTGGGATCAAGGGATCCTCCTTCCTTGACCTCTCAAAGTGCTGGGATTATGGGCATGAGCCACCATGCCCAGCTGGGAAATGCCAATTAAATTCACAATGAGACACCACTTCATACCCACTACCCTGGCTATTACTCAAACTGACGATACTGACAGGTGTAGTCGAGGATATAAAGAAACTGGAACCCTCAGGCATCGCTGGTGGGGATGTAAGATGTACAGCTAACCTGGAAAACCATTAGGCAGTTTCTTTAAAAGTTGAGGCCAGGCTCGGTGGCTCATACCTGTAATCCCAGCACTTTGGGAGTCCTGAGGTCAAGAGTTCGAGACCAGCCTGGCCAACATGGTGAAACCCTGTCTCTACTAAAAACACAAAAACTAGCCGGGTATGGTGGTAGGCGCCTGTAATCCCAGATACTCGGGAGGCTAAGGCAGGAGAATCACTTGAACCTGGGAGGTGGAGGTTGCAGTGAGCCAAGACTGTACCACTGCACTCTAGCCTGGGCAACAGAGCAAGACTCTGTCTCCAAAAAAAAAAGTTGAACATGGCTGGGTGCAGTGGCTCATGCCTGTAATGTCAGCACTTTGGGAGGCCGAGGTAGGAGGATCCCCTGAGTCCAGGAGTTCCAGGCTGCAGTGAGCTATGAATGCGCCACCACCCTCCAGCTTGGGAGACAGAATAAGAGCCTGTCTCTAAAAAAAAAAAAAAATTAAAAAAAAAGTTAAACATAAACTTATATGAAACCTAGCAATTCTACGACTAGATTATCTACCCAAGAGAAATGAAAATACACCTTCTACCTCCATGCAAACTCTCATATGCTAATGTTCATAGCAGCTTTATACATTTGGAAACACTCCAAATGTCTATTAGCTGATGAATGGATATATAAAATGTGCCATGTCCACAAAATAGAATATTTTTAAGCAGTAAAAAGGAATAAACATGCTATAGTATGAATAAACTCCAAAGCAATATGCTACATGAAAGAGGCCAGATGCAAAAGGACACATATTATATGATGTGCTTCTATGAAATGACCAGAAAAGACAAATCTTTTTGATCAGAAAGTAGATTAGTAGTTGCCTTGGGCTAGGCTGGGAACAGAGTGACTACAAATAGGCACAAGGGATATTTTGGGGGTGATGAACATGCTTTGTTACGGTGGTGATGGTTGCACAACTCTGTAAAGTCACTAAAAGCCACAAAGTTGTCCACTTTAACAGGGCTGAATTTTTTGGTATGTAAATTACACCTCAAAAAAGCTGATTAAAAAAACACAGCAAACTTTGCAATTAAAGCATGTAGGGCTTAAATATGGAAACAGAACAGACTGTAGATGTTTCCACCTTGACAATGTAAAAGCAAATGTACAGCTGGGTGCGATGGCTCACACCTGTAATCCCAGCACTTTGGGAGGCTAAGGTGGGATGATCGCTTGAGCCCACGAGTTCAAGACGAGCCTGGGCAACATAGTGAGACCCCCGTCTCTACAAAAAAATTAGCAGGGCATGGTGGCGTGTGTGTGTAGTCCCAGTTATTAGAGAGGCTGAGGTGGGAGGATCGCTTGAGCCCAGAAGTTGAGGCTACAGTGAGCCAAGATCCCGCCACTGCACTCCAGCCTGGGTGACAGAGACTCCATCTCCAAAAAAAAAAAAAAAGAAAGAAAAGAAAAAAGAAAATGAGCAAACACAAAACAGTGCAATGTTACTGCAATTCACTAAAAATACTATCAAAGAGAACTCCCATACATTCCTGGTGGAATCCATTTGGAATCACTTTGGAAACCACTGGGCTTTTTTTTTTTTTTTTTTTTTTTTTTGAGACTGAATCTCACTCTATCGCCCAGGCTGGAGTGCAGTGGCATGATCTCGACTCACTGCAACCTCCACCTTCTGGGTTCAAGTGATTCTTGTGCCTCAGACTCCCAGGTAGCTGGGATTACAGCTACTCTGCCACCATGCTCTGCTAATTTTTGTATTTTTAGTAGAGACAGGGTTTCACCACGTTGGCCAGGCTGGTCTCAACCTCCTGAGCTCAAGTGATCCTCCTGCCTTGGCTTCCCGAAGTGCTGGGATTATAGGCATGAGCCATTGTGCCTGGCCCACTGGACATTTTTTACTGAAGTAAAAATGAAAATGTGCCTGCCCCATGACCCAGCAACTCCACCCCAGAGCCAGAAAACACATACAAGAATATTCATGGTGGTGGTGTTCCTAACAGCTTCAGATTGGAAAAGTCCCAGATGCCTGTCCACTGTAGCACATACAAATAAGTCATTAATAAGATAAGATGGACTACTATATAGCACAATAATACAAATATTGCAAATACAAATATTATAAATAATACAAATACAAAATAAGGAATAAGCCACAAGTACCCAGAACATGAATGATTATCAAAAGCAAAAAAAAAAAAAAATTTTTTTTTGAGACAGGGTCTCACTGTGTTGCCCAGGCTGGAGTGCATGGCCACGATCATAGCTCACTGCAGCCTCCAATTTCTGGACTAAATCGATCCTCCTGACTCAGCCTCTTCTGGACCTGGGACCACAGGCACACACCACCATGCCTGGCTAATTTTTGTGTTTTTAGTAGAGATGGGGTTTCACCATGTTGGCCAGGCTGGTCTAGAACTCCTGACCTCAAATGATCTGCCCACCTCAGCCTCCCAAAGTGCTGGGATTATAGGCGTGAGCCACCACGGCTGGCCCTTTCTCTCTTCGTGTGTGAGGATGTCCCCTCTGCAAGATGGGAAATATGCAGGTCCACATCTGTCATCCACAATCTACATGTTCAAAAGCTCAGAAAACCAACAGTTTTTCCCAGACCCATTTGGTGGCAGGAGCTGACTTGAGCTGTCATGAGGTTTTGTATAGTCTTTAGTTACTCCCCTGAGAATGAACGTGCATTTCACTGAAGGCCTATTAGTGTTTGATTACACAAATGCTCCTCAGCCCTACTAGGGGACTTATGTAACATACCAAATGGGCTCCGTATGACTTGCTTAATATTCAAAGTCTAGGCTGGGCATGGTGACTCACGCCTATAATCCCAGCACTTTGGGAGGTCAAGGCAGGCAGATCACTTGAGGTCAGGAGTTCGAGACCAGCCTGGTCAACATAGTGAAACCCATCTCTACTAAAATACAAAAATGAGCTGGGTGTGGTGGTGCATGCCTATAATCACAGCTACTTGGGAGGCTGAGGCAGGAGAATGGCTTGAACCTGGGAGGTGGAGGTGGCAGTCAGCCAAGATCACAACACTGCACTCCAGCCTGGGTGACAAAGGAGAGTCCATCTCAAAAAAAAAAAAAAAAAATTCAAAGTCTAGACTCCCAAATGCATCTGGCCCCAAGAGCTTTGGATCAGAGATGATGGACCTCTAATAACCCCTGCCCCTCACGGTTGTAGGGAAATTTCATGAGATCAGGGTCTGGCCCTCGACAAATGTTTGCTGCCACTGTGAGGAGTTACTATGATTAGCAGCAAACACCCAGCTATGGGATTGGAGGAGTCCACGTGGGCACCTCCATATGCTGCCATCAGAGACTAGAAGAATGTGGGATAAGGACAGACACGCTTAGGAAAAAACAAGGCGAAACACAGCAGGACAAAAACTGAACCTCTGGCACGATCATTCGTTGAATTTGCAAAAGGAAAAAGAAAATACCAAGTTCCAAATCTATCCCTAGAAAAATGGGTGGTGACTGGGTGCTGTGGCTCACGCTTGTAATCCCAGCACTTTGAGAGGCCAAGGCAGGAGGATGGCTTGAGCCCAAGAGTTTAAGACCAGCTTGGGTAACATAGTGAGACCCCTGTCTCTACAAACAAAATTTAACAATTAGCCAGGCATGGTGGTGTGCACTTGTGGTCCCAGCTACTCGGGAGGCTGAAGTGGGAGGATCACTTGAGCCCAGGAAGTTGAGGCTGCAGTGAGCCAAGACTGTGCCACTGCACTCCAGCCTGGGTGAGAGTGAAACCCTGTGCCAATTAAAAAAAAAAAAAGAAGAAAAGAAAAAGGGCCCAGCTGCAGCAGTTATGTTGACAGTGTTAGTCATAGGTGAACAGGCTATAATAGTTAAGGAGATGCCTTCACAGAATACTAACAGCTACTGTTAACTGAGCACTTACTTTGCTCTAGGCATGTGGGAATTGCTTTACAAAATCTCACAGAAGCCTCAAACCACCCCATGAAGTAGGCACATGGGGAAACTGAGGCTTGGAGGATGACAGCAACGTGCCCAAGGTCACCCAACAAAGAAGCAACAGAGCCATGTCAAAAGACAAAATTACAACAAATTTAGTTATAGATCTAATGGGCTTTTATTCAAGATTCTTGAATGGGGCAGCCTCCATTTTACAAAACAGACTGAGACCCCCACTGGGTAGTAAGAGAATGGTGGGTTTTATAAGCTGGGACCAAGGGAAAAGAATGATAGAAAAAAACAAACAAAAAAACTAGGCCGGGAGCAGTGGCTCACTCACACCTGTTATCCCCAGCACTCTGGGAGGCCAAGGCAGGTGGATCACCTGAGGTCAGGAGTTCGAGACCAGCCTGGCCAACATGATGAAACCCCATCTCTACTAAAAATATAAAAATTAGCTGGGTGTGGTGGCACGCACCTGTAATCCCAGCTACTCAGGAAGCTGAGGCAGGAGAATTGCTTGAACCCAGGAGGTCAAGGTTGCAGTGAGCTGTGATTGTGCCACTGCACTGCAGCCTGGGCGACAGAGTGAGACCCCATCTCAAAGAAAAAAAAAAAAAACCTGCTGGGATTTGAATCTTGGTATATTGGACTCCATAGTTTGTGCTACTGTATACATGTCTTCTGTCTCTTTCTTTGTTTCAAAATAATCTTACTTTATTTTCTCCCAATTTTTACTATGAAATTTCATTCTATAGACAAGTTGAAAGAGTAATCAAATGAACATCACTATCTGCTCCATATTTTGCCATATTTGCACTCTCTCTTTTCTTTTTGGACAGAGTTTTGCTCTTGTCGCCCAGGCTGGGGTGCAATGGCGCGATCTCGGCTCACTGCAAGCTCCACCTCCTGGGTTCAAGCTATTCTCCCGCCTCAGCCTCCTAAGTAGCTGGGATTACAGGTACCCGCCATCATGCCCTGCTAAATTTTTATTTTTGTCGAGACAGGGTTTCAACATGTTGGCCAGGCTGGTCTCGAACTCCTCAGCCTCCCAAAGTGCTGGCATTACAGGCATAAGTCACCGGCCTGGCGGCCTTGATGAACTACTCTTCAGTACTTCCTAATGAATCTCCTAAGATTAAGGGCAACCTGGCCAGGCGTGGTGGCTCACGCTTGTAATTCCAGCACTTTGGGAGGCCAACGCGGGTGGATCACGAGGTCAGGAGTTCGAGACCAGGCTGACCAACACGGTGAAACCCCATCTCTACTAAAAATACAAAAAAATTAGCCAGGCGTGGTGGCACATGCTTGTAATCCCAGCTACTAGGGAGGCTGAGGCAGGAGAATCGCTTGAACCCAGGAGGTGGAGGTTGCAGTGAGCCGAGATTGTGCCACTGCACTCCAGCCTGGGCGACAGAGAGAGATTCTGCCTCAAAAATTCATTCTGCCATCAATACCCACTCCGTGAACAATTTCCCCTGCTGTCTCTAGCAGGTCTTCTGTGGCTGTTTCCTCCTAACAAGATCCCCGTGGGGGCTCAAACACCAGTGGGGGTGGCAGGTCTCACTCATCTCTTTTAATCTAAAACACTTCGTTTTCCATTCTTCTAAAAGAGATTACATACTTTTATTATAGAAAAAATTAAGGCAAACTTTTCTATTTGATTTCTAAGCCATATGTAGAATTTGATTAGAATTGAAGAAATTAATATTTACATAAATACAAAAATGTTATTTTAAAAATATATCTTTTTGTTTGGGCGCCGGTGGCTCACACCTGTAATCCCAGGACTTTTGATGGCCAAGACGAGCAGATGGCTTGAGCCCAGGAGTTCGAGACCAGCCTGGGTAACACGGCAAAACCCCGTATCCACAAAAAATAAAAAAATTAGTGGGGTTTGGTGGGGGGGCGTGCACCTGTAGCCCTAGTTACTCAGGAGGCTGAGGTGGGAGGATCTCTTGAGCCCAGGAGGTTGAGGCTGCAGTGAGCCATGATTACGACACTGTACTCCAGCCTGGGCAACACAGTTTTGATTTGATTTGATTTGATTTGAGACAGGGTCTCAAATATATATGTGTATATATATATATACATATATATATATACACATATATATACACACATATATATATGTACATATATAGTTTTTTTTTTTTTGAGACAGAGTCTTGCTCTTGTCACCCAGGCTGGAGTGCAATGGCACAATCTTGGCTCACTGCAACCTCCACCTCCAGGGTTCAAGCGATTCTCCTTCCTCAGCCTCCTGAGTAGCTGGGATTACAGGCGCCTACCACCACGCCTGGCTAATTTTTGTACTTTTAGTAGAGACGGGGTTCATGTTGGCCAGGCTGGTCTTGAATTCCTGACCTCAGGTGATCCGCCCGCCTCGGCCTCCCAGAGTGCTGGGATTACAAGCGTGAGCCACCGCGCACGCCCGGCCTAAAAATATATTTTTTAAAAAGAAGCTCCTTAGCCAAGCCTTACAAAAAGAGAGTCAACAGATACTAGGTATATTTAATGGAACAATAAATACAAGTTAAAAAAATTATTTTATGTTAGAAAAGTAGCCAATAGAGAAGCCGAAAGTAATGTCCTGACTATACAGGGAGGTGATTATATAGGGAGGAGGAAAACCACGGAGATGATCAAAGTTGTCTCCTATTTTTAGCAAGGGATCCATGGACGCGTTGTCTAAAAGTTGATGAAATAAGAAATAACAATCCAAAAATATGCTGTAAAGATTTGGAAATAGATACCAGAGGAATAAAAAGTGGAAAAAGTTAAAAACGAGGCACCAGCGATCACGAGTTACTTCTTGCCATTTTTGAAAAGTAATGTAGTTAACAAAAAAATGTATTTGGCCGACAGGGGTTGGGGGCGGTGGTGAGGGAGAGGTTGTTGTTTAAAGGCGTGTTGTTTTCCATGCAAAGCTCTGTCCTGTCCTACGTGTCTGAGTGTCGTGTATTACTGGAACATTTTTAAAGAAGTATTATTTATTTTACAACTAGACTCCCATAATATTTGTCTTTCAAAATATGGAGTAAATAGACGCTGTCTAAAGTTGAAGAGGCAGTATACAGAGCTTTCGAACATATCACTGAACATTGCAAAAGTAACTTGGCAGAACAAAATTTAAATTGAGGGTTGGGGCCGCAGCGAAACACATAATGTGCCCAAGTTGCTAAATCGAGAAACCGCCCTCCAAGGCTTCTGATTCACAGATTCTGCGAAGGGACTGACGGCCAGAAGACAGAAAATCCAGCAACGGTAAAAAGCGGCCTGGCCTTCCCCGGGCTGTTGCGCCCACGTGTTGGTTTGCAGCGTTTGGCAGGGGTTTTGGATGGTGGCCTCCGCGGACGAGCGCAGGGATGGAGAGGCCTGGGCGTTCGAACACCCACGTTCAAAGCAAAGCCCTTCCAGATTTAGGGCTTTCTAACGTGCATTTGTATAACTTTGGGTTTAAAGGAGCCTCAGGCCGAGGGAGGGCCCGGGAAAGCGACGCTGCGGGTTATGGGACTCCCAGGGACCCGCCCCTCCGGGCAGGGCCTGGCGCGGGAATCCTTCCCGGGGCGCCCCAGCTGTGGGCGAGAACGGGACTGACGCTTGGGTCCCGACCTGGGTCCCCTACCTGTCCCGGCGCTCACCTGGCGGGCTGCTCGGAGGCGGCAGCGGCGGGCTAAGCTTCCCTTTCCCACTTTGTTCTGGGAGGCAGTCGAGGGGCTCCCCGTGATCGGCGTGGCCCAGGGGGCCCCGGGACCGGCGGTCTGGGCGGTCGGTCCTCTCCCGGGGCGTGGCGGCTGCAGCCCGGCGCCGGGGGCGGCGACTCTGAGATCCAGCGGGCGGGGGCGGGAGGCCGCCCCTCCTCCGGCTGCGGGGCCCAGCGGGAGCGAGGGCGGGCGGGCGGGGGAGCTTGGAGGGCTGCGTGCAGCGAGGGGGAGGCCCAGTTGCCGCGAGGCCAGCGGGGAGCGGGGCCAGCCCCGCGCCCCTAGGATCCGGGGCCCACCCCTGGGAGAGCCACCTCCTCTGGGTGTGCGAGTTCCACATCCCCAAGACGCCCCCGCGGGGGGACTGGTCCTAGCTCCCCACCCCCACCCAAATTCCGTTTCCTTCTGGTCCTGGCCTCCTGCTTGCGGCCGTCTCCACCCCTCACATCCATGGGATCCTGCACAGGTCCACGGTTGGTAAACCGCTTAGCTGTGAGCCCGACCCAGGGCCTGATTCGAAACACTTGGATCAAAGTCCCTGGCCACAGGGATTTTCTTGTATTTACGTTGCTTCCCAGGGCCAGATTCTCAGAAGCCCGGGGCTGATCTTAAATTAAATCCCTTCACCACACGCACTCTCTGTGGCAATGACAAACCTGTACCCTTCCACCTTAGGACTCCCCTGTCCTCCCCATCCCCCCAGCTATAGACAACTGAATTAATCCGGAGGTTCAGTTTCGGTCAGGCTGGGGCCGCGACCCATTTTCTCCCTTTACCTCTGCCCTTGGGTCTTTGCAGTCCCTTCTGATGGCCCTAGATTGCACCAGGGACCTCAAGGTGACTGATCTCAGACACCCCAGAGCTAGTTTTCTGGAAGCCAGGCCTCCCCCACGCTGGTAAATCATTCTCCAGGCCCACTGGCTCATATCTGCCACTGTGCTAAATGCTTTGTATGCATGACCTCCTCATGGACGCCTCTCCCGAGAAACTGAAGTCCAGAGATACCTGGTCTGTTGCACGTAGTCCAAGTCGCTAGCTTGGAGGGGTCACACAGCCAGAGAGCCTGGATTCCCTAAAGCCCCTTCCCCTAGAAACCTCAGCCAGGCCCCACAGCGCCATCGTGAGGACGGCGTGAGACTGCGTGTGCAGCGCGGAGCACAGTGCTGGACTCAGAGCCAACGCTAATTTGACTACTATTACATTATTTGTAACAACCGCCTTTGAAAGCATTTTCTGCTGTGGGTTGTAAAATTACTGTATTATTGGTAGAGTTTTTAGCACAGATCCACACGCAGTTCCTTATGTGAAAGGCGTAGGCCTAGGTTTGTTTTGCATTCCGGATTTTGGGGGGTTTATTTATTTTATTTTAGTTTTTTGAGACGGAGTCTCGCTCTGTTGCCCAGGCTGGAGTGCAGTGGCTAGATCTTGGCTCACTGCAAGCTCCACCTCCCGGGCTCAAGCAATTCTTGTGCCTCAGCCTCCCGAGTAGCTGGGATTACAGGAACGCGCCACCACGCCTGGCTAATTTTTGTATTTTTAGTAGAGAGGGGGTTTGGCCATGTTGGCCAGGCTGGTCTCGAACTCTTGACCTCAGGTGATCTGCCTGTCTTGGCCTCCCAAAGTACTGGGATTACAAGCGTGAGCTACCACGCCTGGCCGTAAGTAGCCATTTCTTCATGCTGCTCAATTCTCTGACATCCAGGGGCTTGCATATGTAGGGACAAGAATACTAACTAATCTTTGTTCTTTGATAAAACATTAAACAGTTGTTCCTCTAAGTCTTCCTCGAAACCAGATTTCCCTAATCATTTCAACATTCCTTCCAAAAGCCATCGCTTAAAGCCTTCCCAAATCTAATGTCAGATGTTTGCGATTGTTGTAAATACCTTAACAAATAGACAAAGCAATTGTGTGTTATTATAATGATTACAAAGCTAATGCATACTTGTGCTGACACGTGTCACCAGTGTGCTGATACCCATGGACTTGAGCTTGTTTCTTTATTGTTATTATTACAAAAAGTGGAATTGTTTATTTTTCATTTATTGATTTATTTTTGAGTCAGCGTCTGGCTCTGTTACCCAGGCTGGAGTGCAGTGGCATGATCACAGCTCACTGCAGCCTTGATCTCCTGGGCTCAAGTGATCCTCCCACCTCAGCCCCTCAAGTAGCTGGGACTACAGGGGCACGCCACCATGCCCGGCTAATCTTTGTATTTTTTGTAGAGATGAGGTTTCGCCATGCTGCCCAGGCTGGTCTCGAACTCATTAGCTCAACAATCCGCCTGCCTTGGCCTCCCAAAATGCTGGGATTACAGGCATAAGCCACTGCATCTGGCCTTGTTTCTTTATTATTGGTATTCTAGTTTTTAGACTCCTTTCCTGCAGGGAGTGTGATTTGACTCACCCAATATAAGGAGCCCTGGTAACCGCCTCAGACCTGCTGAGGTTTCGGCTTTAGGTCAGAGCCAGTTTCAGGAAGGCTGATGATTCAGGACCGGTGGAGAGGCCTGGGGAACCTCTAGCAGGGCAGCCCACTGAATGCGGTTGTCACTCAGAGCCTGTCCATGTGCTTGGATCTGAACAGGAAGAGAGGTTTTATTTATGGTCTTGGTCGTGCTTTCCCTCGGAGTCACATTTGTTCCTGGTGTCTCCTCACATGGTGCAGGCTGATGTGCCTACTTTGCAGCTCTTTCTGCTGAGCAAGGCCTGTTTCTACCCAATTAAATCTAAAGCCTTCTATCACAATAAAACCTCAACTGTCATTCCCATCAACCAAGAAGAACTGAACTAGGAGGCCCTGACATTTGCCAATCTGATGTGTTATCAAATGTTTACATTGGCCGGGCACGGTGGCTCATGTCTGTAATCCTAGTGCTTTGGGAGGCAGCAGGATCACTTGAGACCAGGAGTTCAAGACCAGCCTGTGCAACATAGTGAGACCCCCATCTCTACAAAAAATTTAAAAATTACCTGGCTATGATGGTGTGTGACTGTGGTTCTAGCTACTTGGGGGGCTGAGGCAGGAGGACCGCCTGAGCCTGGGAGGTTAAGGCTGCAGTGAGCTGTAATGGTGCCACTGTACTCCAGCCTGAGTGACAGAGCAAGACTCTATCTCAAGACAAATAAACAGGCCGGGCGCGGTGGCTCACGCCTGTAATCCCAACACTTTGGGAGGCCAAGGCAGGCGGATCACCTGAGGTCAGGAGTTTGAGACCAGCCTGGCCAACATGGCAAAACCCCGTCTCTACTAAAAATACAAAAATTAGCTGGGTGTGGTGGCATGTGTCTGCAGTCCCAGCTACTAGGAGGGCTGAGGCAGGAGGATTGCTTGAACCCAGGAGGCGGAGGTTGCACTGAGCTGAGATTGTGCCACTGCACTCTAGCCTGGGCAACACAGCAAGACTCTGTCTCAAAACAAACAAACAAACAAACGAAGTTTACATCTTTGCCTATCTAAGAAGTCAAAAGAAAACAAAAAAAGGTATTGCCCTGGTATCTTCCTTCGCATTTCTCCTAAGATGAGGACATTGGTCATCTTTTCATGTGTTTAAGAGCTATTTGCATTTCTTTCTACATAGTTTGTCATTAATCACCTTTGCCCATTTTTCTGCAATTACTGGTCAGGTGTTGTGTTTTAAAAATGGTGCAATGGGCCAGTGCAGTGGCTCACTCCTGTAATCCCAGCACTTTAGGAGGCCAAGTCGGGCGGATCAGAAGGTCAGGAGTTTGAGACTAGCCTGGCCAATATAGTGAAATCCTGTCTCTACTAAAAATACAAAAATTAGCCAGGTGTGGTGGAGGGCACCTGTGGTTCCAGCTACTTGGGAGGCTGAGGCAGGAGAATCACTTGAACCCAGGAGGCGGAGGTTGCAGTGAGCTGAGATCGTGCCACTGCACTCCAGCCTGGGTGACAGAACAAAAGTTTGTCTCAAAAATAAATAAATATAAAAAAATACAAATATAAATACAAAAATTAGCCTGGAGTGGTGGCAGATGCCTGTAATCCCAGCTACTTGGGATGTTGAGGTGTGAAGATCACTTGAACCCAGGAGGTAGAGGCTGCAGTCAGCTGAGATTGCTCCACTGCACTCCAGCCTAGGCGACAAAGTGAGACTCCGACTCAAAAAAAAAATGGTGCAATTATTGCAAACAGTGAAAAATGGACGGATGTCACATACAAATCTAACTTTCCAGCCTCTGGAGAGATGGCCTACGCTATAGGGCACGTGTTCTCACAGTCCCTTACCTTGTGCAGTGCATTGCCTGGGCCCATCATCCATAACGTTAATATCCTGGCTTGTGGTTATCTGTGGTGGTGATAGTGGCAGGAGGCAGTCAAATCCCTTGGCAGATAGGGGTGGTTCCCCAGTGAAACCTCATCTTCAAGCCAAAGACAGTTTTAAGCCTGAAGGCCAAGCTGCAAGTCTCAGATAAATCCACGGACCAGATTGAGAACTTGTCTTCCTGTTTGGTGCACTTTCCTCTGATTCCTCCCCACCCTTCATCTATTTTACATGTACCTACCCTTCCCTAATTTTTTTTTCTTTTCTTTCTTTTTTTGAGATGGAGTCTCGCTCTGTTGCCCAGGCTGGAGTCCAGTGGCATGATCTTGGTTCACTGCAACCTCCGCCTCCTGGGTTCAAGCAATTCTCCTGCCTCAGCCTCCCAAGTAGCTGGGATTACAGGTGCCCGCTACCACGCCTGGCTCATTTTTGAATTTTTAATAGAGACAGGGTTTTACCATGTTGGCCAGCCTGGTCTCAAACTCCTGACCTCAGGTGATCTGCCTGCCCTGGCCTCCCAAAGTGCTGGGATTACAGGTGTGAGCCACCACACCCAGCCCGTAATTGGTTTTTTACACTGTCATGCCCATCTTTGAATGGTGCCTTTGTTTTAGCCTCTTTTGCATACTCACAAACCAATCAGCATGCACTCCCCCATTCTAAGTCCATAAAAGCCCCAGACCCAGCCACACTGAGGGAGAGACCACCTGACTTCAGGTGGGGGACTACCCTCACATCCCCTCTCTGCTGAGAGCTTTTATGTCACTTAATAATAAAAATCTTCTCCACCCTTCTCACCCTTGGATTGTAAGTGTGATCTCATTCTTCTTGGACGTGGGACAAGAACTTGGGACCCTGCCGAATGTAGGTACAAAGAAGGCAGTAGCACCATAGCTCCCCACGATTGGTGCCTAGCGGCCACCCCATGCAACAGAAAGCAGTGGCAAGACCAGGCCAGCCCTGGAGCTACAGGCCAGAGTGGGGCAACATAACAGAACTACTAACATGCCTCCTTTCGTCAGGCTGTGGAGGGACTAACAGAGCTGTTAGCATGCTATAACACCACCTCTGGGACTTCAGGGTCATGGGCTTCCCTGTTTGGGTGCCGCCGTGTTCTCCTTGTCTGAACGCCAGAGTACACAGTGGGAGCCGCTTGCAACACACCTGGTCCAGCCACAAACCCTACATGGAGCCTGCCCCTGTGTCAGTGCTTGCAGGGGCCAGTGGGACCCCACACTTGCTAGTTCACACACCCCCTCCCACCCAGGGGCTGAGTGCAAAGTCACGGTGGCTGTGGGATCCATGCCAGAGTGCAATCCAGCTGTGCCCTGGTGGGCTGAGTGGGCAGGGTGCCTCCTGCAACAAACCTGGGAACAGTGCAAGGCCAGGGCAGTGGCATTGCTGGCCAGAGGTCTCTGGGCAGCAATGTGGCTGAGAAAAATCCTGCATCGGTGGCAACTCCTGGGATGATCCTCTCGAAGCACTCAGCCGGGAGCCTGGCCCTGCAGACTCCTACATTATGAGCCTTTAGAAGACAAAAGAAATGCCCAAAACAAAGCAGTCCAGCTTTGCCTTAGTGATGGCTGTCAAGGGACCCAGTTAATCAATTAGAGATACATCTGCACTGTGAAGATGTGCATAGTTGGAGGGCAGAAAGTTAAAAATTAAAAGCTTACCAGATAGAGAAAAATCTTTTTTTTTTTTTTTTTCAGGCAGAGTCTTTCTCTGTCGCCCAGGCTGTGTGCAGTGGTGCCATCTCGGCTCACTGCAACTTCCGCCTCCCGAGTTCAAGCAATTCTCCTGCCTCAGCCTTCTGAGTAGCTGGGATTACAGGCGCCCACCACCATGCCTGGCTAATTTTTGTATTATTAGTAGAGATGGAGTTTCACCATATTGGCCAGGCTGGTCTCAAACTCCTGACCATGTGATCCACCTGCCTCAGCCTCCCAAAGTGTTGGGATTACAGGTGTGAACCACCGTGCCCGGCCAGGAAGATCTTCTGAACAAAAAAGGAAACTTGCAAGGAATCCTCTTGGAAAATGTAGGGCACAAAAAATATCCATTTAGATATAAATAGAGACATAGAGACACAACCCCTGGTAGGGATAGAGACAGGTACACACACACACAGAACTGAAGGCACACACACACACACACACACACACACACACACACTTTTTTTTGTTTTGTTTTGAGACAAGGTCTTGCTCTGTTGCCCAGGCTAGAGTGCAGTGGCATGATCATGGCTCATGACAGCCTCGACCTCCTGGGTTCAAGTGATCCTCCCACCTCAACCTCCCAAGTAGCTGGGACTACAGGTGTGCACCACCACACCTGGCTTTTTTTTTTTTTTTTGGGGTAAAGATAGGGTATCACCATGTTCCCAGGGCTGGTCTCCTGGGCTCAAGCAATCCTTCCGCCTCAGCTTCCCAAAGTGCTGGGATTACAGGCGTGAGCCACAATACCTAGACAGGCACAGACTCATAGAGTAAGCTCCAAAAAAATTCTCAAGCCACATGCCACCTGGAGAGACTACTGTCTGCAAGGGTGTCACAGGAGGCCGTGTGGGGGTCTGGGTTGCCTCCCACCTAGATACTCCAGGATAATCTTCTTGTCTCAAAACCTATAACTTCGGCCAGGTGTGGTGGCTCACACCTGTAATTTCAGCAGTTTGGGAAGCTGGGGCAGGAGGATAACTTTAGCTTAGGAATTCGAGACCAGCCTGGGCAACGTAGGGAGACCTCGTCTCTAAAAAACAAAGATCCCCCCACCCACCTTAACGTCATTATATCTGCAAAGTTATTTTTGCCATATAAGGAAACATTCACAAATTCCAGAGGTTAGGACCTGGATAATTTTGGCAGAAGGGGGGATTATTCAGTCTACCATACACCATAGTTATTTATTTAAATTTTTTTTGAGACACAGTCTCACTCTGTTACCCAGGGTGGAGTGCAGTGGTGCGATCTTGGCTCATTGCAATCTCCACCTCCTGGGTTCCAGCAATTCTCCTGCCTCAGCCTCCCAAGTAGCTGGGATTATAGGTGCACTCTGCCACGCCTGGCTAATTTTTGTATTTTTAGTAGAGATGGGGTTTTACTATGTTGGCCAGGCTGGTCTCAAACTCCTGACCTCATGTGATCCACCTGCCTTGGCCTCCCAAAATGCTGGGATTATAGGCGTGAGCTACCATGCCTGGGCTCTTTTTTTTTTTTTTTTTTTTTTTTTTTTTTGAGATGGAGTCTTGATCTGTTGCTCAGGCTGGAGTGCAATGGCATGATCTTGGCTCACTGCAACCTCCATCTCCCAGGTTCAAGCAATTTTCTTGCCTCAGCCTCCCTAGTAGCTGGGACTACAGCCATGTACCACCACACCCAGCTAATTTTTTTGTATTTTTAGTAGAGATGGGGTTTCACTGGTGTTGGCCAGGCTGGTCTCCTGACCTCAAGTAATCCTCGGCCTCCCAAAGTGCTGGGAATACAGGCATCAGCAACCACGCCTGTCGTCTTGCTATGTTGCCCAGGCTGGTCTTGAACTCCTGACCTCAAGTGATCCTCCCACCTCGGCCTCCCAAGGTGCTGTGATTACAGGCATGAACCACCATGTCTGGCTCGGACCATAGTTCTTTTATAATAATAGTGGTCATCATTCTAGTAGTTGTTATCTAATCACATTTTATAATCATTAGTTCTAAAATATTAAGTGCCAAAATAAATAAATAAAAAAGAAAAAAAATAAAAATAAAATAAAATCTTAAGTGCCAGGTTCTGGGCTAAGAGATCTAGGTACAGTATCACATCTAATTCTTCCAGCAACTCTCTGGAATAGGGACCTTTGCTACCCTGAAGAAACAAGTAGAGACAATAGCGCTAAGAAACAGAGAAGCCTAGGCCGGGTGCAGTGGCTCACGCCTGTAATCCCAACACTTTGGGAGGCCTAGGTGGGTAGATCACCTGAGGTCAGGAGTTTGAGACCAGCCTGGCCAACATGATGAAACTCCATTTCTATTAAAAATACAAAAAATTAGCCAGGCGTGGTAGCGGGTGCCTGTAATCCCAGCTACCTGGGGGACTGAGATAGGAGAATCGAGGTAACGGTTGCAGTGAGCAGAGAGAGTGCCACTGCACTCCAGCATGGGTGACAGAGCAAGACTCCATCTCAGAAAAAAAAATAAATAAAGAAATATAAAAATACAAAAAGTTATCCAGGCATGGTGGTACATGTCTGTAATCCCAGCTACTTGGGAGGCTGAGGCAGGGGAATCACTTGAACCTGGGAGGTGGAGGTTGCGGTGAACCAAGATCGCACCATTGCACTCTGGCCTGGGTGACAGAGCAAGACTCTGTCTCAAAAAAAGAAATTATATATATATATATATATTTGTGGAATGAATGAGTAAATTAATATGTGAAAGAAGCTGTGGTGTTAAAAAATATTTTAAACAAAAACGATGGCCGGACACGGTGGCTGACGCGTTGAATCCCAGCACTTTGGGAGGCTGAGGTGGGTGGATCACTCAAAATACAAAAATTTACCCGTCTCTACTAAAAATGCAAAAATTAGCCTGGCGTGGTGGCACATGCCTGTAACCCCAGGTACTCGGGAGGCTGAGGCAGGAGAATCGCTTCAACCGGGCAGGCAGAGGTTGCAGTGAGCCGAGATCGTGCCGCTGCACTCCAGCCTGGATGACAGAGTGAGACTCCATCTCAAAACAAAAAAAAAACCTCGGTGAAGTCTGGTCTGACCCCGGAGCCCTTAATCACCACCCCAGGATACCCCATTCACAAGCACAAGAAACACAGTTACACTCAGATGCCCCCTTCTCTGGGCAGAGGTTTCCTAAGACTTTGTATATATTAAGTTTTGTTAATTGCACCTCACTGAAAGGTGTTGGCCCTCTGTGCTCTCCGCCTGCCATGATTCTGGGATTTTGGTCCTCCCTGGCATCGACCCTGCTGAATCCAGACAGTAGAGACTGGGGAGTTGCTTGTTGGTGTCAGGGGATCTCTGAAAACCATGGGCTCAGGTCGTGACTTTGCAAATAATACTTCCCGGGGGAACACTGGGCATAGCATTTTTTTTCTTTTTTTGAGACAGAGTCTTGCTCTGTGGCCCAGACTAGAGCTCAGTGGCATAATCATAGCTCACTGCAGCCTCAACCTCTTTGGCTCAAGTGATTCTCTCCTCTCAGCCTCCCGAGCAGCTGAGACTACAGGCATGTACCACGGAGCCTGGATAATGTTTTGTTTATTTTTTGTAGAGACGAGTTCTCACTAGGTTGCCCAGGCTGGTCTTAAACTCCTGGCCTCAACTGATCCTTCTGTCTTGGCCTCCCAAAGTGTTGGGATTCCAGGTGTGAGCCTGGGCATAGATTTTTTATAAGTCAGTGTTTGCCAGATGTCAAATATTTGTGCTGTGGCCTGAATGTTTGTGTCTACCCAAATTTCTGTGTTGAAAGCTAATCCACAGTGTGATGGTATTAAAAGGTGGGATCTTCAGGAGGTAATTAGCACTTGAGGGTGGGCCCCTCATTAATGGGATTAGTGCCCTTGTAAGGGATTGAAGAGACCAGAGTTCTCGCCTTCTGCCACTTGAGGACAGAGTCCAAAGGCACCATGGGCTGGGCACTGAGGCTCATGCCTGTAATCCCAGCACTTTGGGAAGCTGAAGAGGGAGCATTGTTTGAGCCCAGGAGTTCAAGACCAGCCTGGGTAACAGTGTGAAACCCCATCTCTACAAAAAATATAAAAACTAGCCAGGTGTGATGGTGGGTGCCAGTAGTCCCAGCTACTCAGGAGGCTGAAGTGGGAGGATCGCTTGAGCCCGGGAAGTTAAGGCTGCAGTGAGCTGAGATCGTGCCACTGCACCCCAGCCTGGGGGACAGAGCAAGACCCTGTGTCAAAAAAACAAAAACAAAAACAAACCAAAAAAACCCACCATCTATGAACCAGAGAATGTGCCCTCACCAGACACCAAATCTACTGGTGCTTTGGTCTTGGACTTCCCAGCATCCAGAACGGTGAGAAATACATTTCTGTTGTTTATTGAAATACCCAGCTTATGGTATTTTGCTACAGCAGTCCAAAGGGACTAAGACAGTTTGTAAGTGGATCTCCTTTGAAGATCCAGGCTCAAAAAGAAAGGCAGCCAGTGGCTTTGGTCTAGCTGGCCAGCTGGGTCACCAGGGACCTGTGCATTCCCAGAGGGGCTAGCCCATGGGAAGAGGATTTGAAAAGAAATGTGAGAATCTTGCTTCACAGACAATATTTCCCTGGGGGAGAGAAAGAGAAGAGCATGTTTACATGACCAGTTTCATGTGTATTAGTGGTGGGTTGCCCTACCACTAGAAATACACATTCCTAGGAGAGAATGTAAATTTCCTTCCTTCCTTCCTTCCTCCTTCCTTCCTTCTTTCCTTCCTTCCATCCTTCTTTCCTCCCTTCCTCCCTCCCTTCCTCCCTCCCTTCTTTTCTTTCTTTCCTTCTTTCTCTCTTTCCTTCTTTCTCTCTCCTACTTTCTTATTTCTTTCTTTTTGAGATAGGGTCTTGCTCTGTTGCCCAGGCTGGAGTGTAATGGTGCAATTATGATTATGATCTTTCTTTTCTTTTCCCTCTCTTTCTTCCTTCCTTCCTTTCCTTCCTTCCTTTCCTTCTTTCCTTCCCTTCCTTCCCTTCCTTTTTTTTTGAGACGGAGTCTCGCTCTGTTGCCCAGGCTGGAGTGCAGTGGTGTGGTCTTGGCTCACTGCAACCTCTGCCTCCCGGGTTCAAGCAATTCTCCTGCCTCAGCCTCCCGAGTAGCTGGGATTACAGGTGCTCATCACCACGCCCGGCTAAATTTTTTTTTTTTGAGATGGAGTCTCACTCTGTTGCCCAGGCTGGAGTACAGTGGCATGATCTTGGCTCACTGCAAGCTCTGCCTTCCAGGTTCCCGCCATTCTCCTGCCTCAGCCTCCCGAGTAGCTGGGACTACAGGCACCCACCACCACGCCTGGCTAATTTTTGTATTTTTAGTAGAGACGGGGTTTCACTGTGTTAGCCAGGATGGTCTCGATCTCCTGACCTTGTGATCCACCCGCCTCAGCCTCCCAAAGTGCTGGGATTACAGGCGTGAGCCACCGCGCCCGGCCAATTTTTTGTGTTTTTTGTAGAGACAGGGTTTCACCGTGTTGGTCAGGCTGGTCTTGAACTCCTGACCTCATGATCAGCCCATCTTGGCCTCCCAAAGTGCTGAGATTACAGGCATGAGCCACTGTGCCTGGCCCAAATTTTTTTATACATTGCAAATACTTAAAACACCAAATAGCCCAGATGATTCTTTTTTTTTTTTTTTTTTTTTGAGATGGAGTCTTGCTCTGTCGCCCAGGCTGGAGTACAGTAGTGCAATCTTGGCTCACTGCAACCTCCATCGCCTGGGTTCAAACGATTCTTCTGCCTCAGCCCCCCAAGTAGTTGGGATTACAGGTGCACACCACCACTCCTGGCTAGTTTTTATATTTATAGTAGAGATGGGGTTTCTCCATGCTGGCCAGGCTGGTCTTGAACTCCTGACCTCAGGCAATCCACTCGCCTCAGCCTCCCAAAGTGCTAGGATTACAGGCTTGAGCCAACGTGCCTGGCCTGATGATTCTTAAATATAATATAAAAGTCTTAATTCTGGGGCTTTGATTTCCTTCATCTCTGTATTCAATTTTAAGGCTTCGTGGCTGAACATGAAAAGACACATAAGAAAACAATTTTATTGGCCAGGCACAGTGGCTCACGCCTGTAATCCTAGTACTTTGGGAGGCCAAAGTGGGAGAATCACTGGAAGCCAGAAGTTTGAAATCAGCCTGGGCAACAAAGCAAGACCCTATCTCTGTTCTTATTTGTTATTATTTTATTTATTTATTTATTTTTTGAGATGGAGTCTTGCTGTGTTGCCCAGGCTGGAGTGTGCAGTGCAGTGGCGTGATCTCAACTCACTGCAACCTCTGCCTCCCGGGTTCAAGTGATTCTCCTGCCTCAGCCTCTGGAGTAGCTGGGATTACAGGCACCTGCCATGACGCCCAGCTAATTTTTTTGTGTATTTTTAGTAGAGATGGGGTTTCACCATGTGGGCCAGGCTGGTCTTGAACTCCTGACCTCAAATGATCCATCTGCCTTGGCCTCCCAAAGTGCTGGAATCACAGGCGTGAGCCACCACGCCCGGCCTCTTATTTATTATTGTTTTTTGTGGTGGGGACAGGGTCTCACTCTGCAGCCCAGGCTGAAGTGCAGTGGTGCAATCATGGCTCAGTGCAGCCTCAGCCTCCTGGGCTCAAGTGATCTTCCTGCTTTCGCCTTCCGAACAGCTGGGACTACAGGTGCGTGCCACCACATCCAGTCAATTTTTCTATTTTTTGTAGAGACAGGGTTTTGCCATGTTGCCCAGGCTGGTCTAGAACTCCTGACCTCAAGTGGTCCACCCACCTTGGCCTCCCAAAGTGCTGGGATTACAGGTGTGAGCCACCTCCTGTCTCACCTCACAGGAGTGCTGGCCTCCTGTCTCTATTCCTAAAAAAAAAAAAAAAAAAAAAAAAAAAAAGAAAGAAAGAGAAAAGATAACAATTTTGCTAGCTAGGTGAGATTAATTCTTGGCCAGATAATTTATTATTGGGAAGGGAGTTCTGACTTTCTAGTTACGGAAAAAAAACCTTAGCCTGGCATGGTGGCTCACACCTGTAAGCCCAGCACTTTGGGAGGCTGAGGCAGGAGGATCACTGGAGCCCAGGAGTTTGAGACCAGCCTGGACAACCTAGGGAGACCCCCGTCTCTACAAAAAATTTAAAAAATTAGATGGGCATGGTGGCATGCACCCATGGTCCCAGCTACGTGGGAGGCTGAGGTGGGAGAATCGCTTGAGCCCAGGAGGTCAAGGCTGCAGTGAGGTGTGTTTGCACCATAGCACTATAACCTGGGCAACAGAGCGAGACCCTGTCTCAAAACAAAACAAAACAAAACAACCTTTTCAAAAATGCTGCTGAGCCCTTCTAAAATTGTTACCATAACAAATGGGCTTCATGGGCTACAAAGGTTTGGTCCTCTGGCCTTCAGTCTGGGTTCATGGTGTACCATCAGCTCACTTTCCTAACCAGTGACATTAGAGGGAAGTCTGTAGCTACCCAGGTGGCTCGCGGCTGGACTGGCATCAGCCGGTCTCTCTGTCGCCCAGCTCTATTCTGCATTCTTTCTGCATTCCATCTCACCGTCTGGCCTGGCCACGGCCCCTGAGAGTAGTTACATGATGCCTGGCAGGCCGATGATATTGCCTGTCACCCCTTCGGCCAGCTTTCCTCCTGGCCAGGCTGATGTTGGGGTTGTGACCCAGAGATGAACAGGCAGGTCTCAGGGGGCCCCTTGGGGAGGCTGTAGATTGTTCCTGGGAGGGATCAGCTCTCATAATGTCAACAGAGTGCAAGGGGGATGCAACTCATCTGTCATCTACCAGCCCAGGGGCGGCACCGTGTGTGGCTGCCAGGCTCAGCTTACAAACCTCAGAGTCTGGAGACCTGGAGGAGGGGAGGCGAGGAGCCCATGTTGGGGGAGATCAAATAACAGGCTCTGGGCAGGCTGGAGGGGGACAGAGGGAGGAGGCTGGCCAAGCAATCTCCAAGCCCAGCCCTGCCACCAGTCAATCCACAGATGAGCGCCTACTGCATGCAGCCCTCCCTCCCTCCCTCTCTCCCTCCCTCCCTCTCTCCCTCCCTCTCTCTCTTTCTCCTTCTTTCTTTCCTTCTTTCTTGCTTTCTTTCTTTCTTTCTTTCTTTCTTTCCTTTCTTTTTTCTCTCTCTCTTTCTCTCTCTTTCTTTCTTTCTCTCTCTGTCTCTCTCTCTCTTTCTTTCTTTCTTTCTTTCTTCCTTTCTTTCAGACAGGGTCTCACTCTGTTGCCCAGGCTGGAGTGCAGTGGTGCCATCATAGCTCACTGCAGCCTCCAACGCCTACACTCAAGCATTCCTACTGCCTCAGCCTCCTAAGTAACTGGGATTACAGGTGCACACCACCACACTCAGCTAATTTTTTTATTTTTATTTTTTTAATAGAGACAGAGTTTCACTATGTTGCCCAGGCTGGTCTTGAACTCCCGGGCTCAAGTGATCCTCCTGCCTCAGCCTCCCAGAGTGCTGGGATTACAGGTGTTTGCCACCACGCCCAGCCTAACACCTGTTATGTGCAGTGCGCTCTCTTAGGGTTCTGCTGTCTCGAAGGTGGAGGAGTGATAACCCAGCTGCGGGATGATCCTGTCTGAGGGATGATGGCAGAAGTCAGGCGTGTTCTGAATGTCCTTTGAAGGAAAGATAAAAGGATTTGCTGCTGGACTGGATTTGGTGTGAGAAATGGGGAGAGACAGGAGTCCAGGACAAGGCCAGGCTCTTGGGTCTGGCAGCTGGTGAAATAAGAGTGCCGCTCCCTGAAGATGGCGTGCGGAATCTGAATAGGTTCAGAAGGTTGCAAAATCTTTCTGGGTATGTGCTATGAACTTCAAGGCCAATGTTTCTCTACATTTTGTAACCATAGTCTGAGTAAGAAATGCATTCTGGCCGGGTGCGGTGGCTCACACCTGTACTCCCAGCACTTTGGGAGGCCGAGGTGGGTGGATCACCTGAGGTTAGGAGTTCAAGACCAGCCTGGCCAACATGGTGAGACCCTGTCTCTACAAAAATACAAAAATTAGACAGGTGTGGTGGCGGGCGACTGTAATCCTAGCTACTCGGGAGGGTGAGGCAGGACAATTGTTTGAACCTGGGAGGCAGAGATTGCAGTGAGCTGAGATTGTGCCATTGCACTCCAGCCTGGGTGAGAGAGTAAGATTCCATCTAAAAAAAAAAAAAAAAGAAATGTATTTTACACAACAATCAATACACCTGAAAGTAGAATTTCTGCAGCAATGTTTACCCGTTGCTGTGTGCAGTGCACTCTGATGTTTTCTATTGAATTTCATTTTTTAAAAATTGTGCTGGTTGTGACTTTTATCCGTTGGTCATGATCTAAAAATTGAAAATTATCATTCTAGGTTCTACCTCTTCAAGACTTAGCTTGAGTTCTTTACTGCCCTGGAGAAGTCTGGGAGTGTGGCCGGGTGACCACGGGGCAGCCAGAGCCTGGCAGGGATGACTGGAAGGAGGGGAGCTAAGACTTTGCAGTGTTCCTCCAGGGATGATGATGTAATCATGGAAGGGCTCAAAGCCTTTCCCAAGGACAGGGTCAAGGCTACTAAGTCCAAGTAGCAGGGACAGGCACAGCCCGGCCAGTAAGGGTGTGTGGCCCGGGGCTGGTGCCTCCCTTACTCCCTGGTCCTGCAGAGGACGCCTGGGATCTGCAGCACTGTGGCAATGACATGTTGGGGAGAAGGGACCCTCGCAGGCTCCCAGACCTGCTTTGTGACTTACTGAGTGAGTGCCCGACCCCTGCCTCACCAGCCCTGGGCTTCAGAGCCTGAGAATGAAACCCGCCCTTCTTCCACCTCCTCTCCTGCCCATCTCCTTCCCTCCTTCCTCTTCCCAGCTGGTGCCACGAGGAGCTGGCGGACCTCCAAGAGAATTGGCCAAGAATGCAGCCTCTGGACAGTGACCTGGGTGAGAATCATCACAGTGGCTCACCCCGGACCCAGGAATTTCACTTAGTCCTTGTCATCATCCACCAATGCGGGACAGCTCGGCCCAGATTGTTCATGGCTCAAGACCCCCACCCCACCCCATTCTGCTTGGTTGGGCTGTGTTGTTTATTTTATTTAATGAATTAATTTATTTATTTGAAACAGAATCTTGCTCTGTTGCCCAGGCTGGAGTGCAATGGCACGATCTCAGTTCACTGCAACCTCTGTCTCCCGGGTTCAACTGATTCTCCTTGCCATGGTCCCCTAAGTAGCTAGGATTACAGGTGCCTGCCACCACACCCGGCTACTTTTCATGTTTTTAGTAGAGACAGGGTTTCATTGTGTTGGCTGGGCAGGTCTTGAACTCCTGACCTCAGCTGATCTGCCTGTCTCAGCCTCCCAAAGTGCTGGGATTACAGGCATGAGCCACCATGCCCGGCCGCACTGTGCTGTTTTTAAGCCTCTTGAATATCATCACCTCTCTTTGTTTACAGATGGGGAAACAGTTTACAGACGGGGAAACAGGCTCAGAGGGAAAAAATACCTTTTCAGGGTTTTCCAGGCAAAGAGTGGCAGAGCAGAGACCAACCTCCGCCTGGCCAAAGCCCTTCTCTGCTTCCTGTCCATTTGTGGGTGATCTGGTGGTTTCTCCTTTTCTTTCTTTCTCTCTCTCTCTCTTTCCTTTCTGACAGAGTCTTGCTTTGTCGCCCAGGCTGGAGTGCAATGGTGTCATCTCGGCTCACTGCAACCTCTACCTCACGGGTTCAAGCGATTCTCCCACCTCAGCCTCCCAGGTAGCTGGGACTACAGGCGTGTACCACCACACCTTGCTTTTTTTTTTTTTTTTTTTTTTGTATTTTTAGTAGAGACGGGGTTTCACCATGTTGGCCAGGCTGGTTTCGCACTCCTGACCTCAAGTGATCTGCCCACCTTGGCCTCCCAAAGTGCTGGGATTATAGGCATGAGCCACTGCTCCCGGCCAGATCTGGTGGGGTTTTTTTGAGACACAGCCAGATCTTCACAGTGCCAGGTGGGGTGATGTGCAGGACTGCAGCTGTGTCTGGATTCTGGACAAGGCTCCAAATGATCACCACCATATCTTGGCTGTTCAGTTAGGTGGGTCTGGGCTAGAGATGAGAAAGGAGGGGTGAGGGAGGAGGAGAGGAATCTGAGCCTCAGATCTGAGGCTGCAGGCCTCTCTGCATCATCTCCTCTTCCACATGGTACCCACTTTTGGGAAAGGCATCCGGATGTGTGCATTGAACAGTATACAAGGGCCTGTGGTCCTGGGACAATATTTTAACACAGGCTTTATTATTATTTGGGTATAGTAAAACCAAGAGATCCTGAGATGACAGTTATTAGGAAGGTTGTTGTACTTACAAATTCCAAGAGGAGGGGACATGCCATACTATGGAGACCACACAGGGACTCACCAGGGTAGGTCAGGAGGCAGAGGGAACACAGGGAGCTCTGGGCAAGAGGCTTTATTGTGGGCAAGATGGGGACACACAGTAAAAGCTTACTTCTCATTCCTGTTATTGCCCAGGCTGCCTGGGCAGATGCTCTACTCCACGCAGTCATTTAGGGATCCAGGCTATTTCCATCTAGTGGCCCCACCATCCTCCCAGGCCTCATAATATTCCACTGGATCAGTCCAGCAGGTGAGAGGGATGAGGGCATGGAGAGTTATGGGGGAGATATTTGTGGGTCAGCCCCAGAAACGTAACACGTCACTCCTGCCCACATTCTCTACTGAACTGCAGAGGAGGCTTGGAAGTGTAGTCAGGCTCTGTGTGCCCAGAAGGAAAACAAGACAGGGCTTGATGAACACAGATCCCAGTCTCTGCATTGAGAGCATTTCCCAGAAGCCACCGTAAGGGCTTCTCCTTTTGAGTCACGGATCAGAGCTGAGTCACATGCACACTGGCAAGAGGAACCAGGATCACCCTGATATCTAAACCATCAGGATTTCCTTCCAGACTTGGGAATGGGAGGAGATGCCAACAAACTCAAGGCTGTATTAGACAGGAAGTGGGGATGGCTAATGGATAGGTGACAGACAGTTTCAGCCCCTTCTTCTCACAGCTCCCTGCCATTTCTCCTCACCACTCCACAATCCCCATCCTTTTTTTTTTTTGAGACGGATTTTTGCTCTTGTCACCCAGACTGGAGTGCAATGGCGTGATCTCAGCTCACTGCAACCTCTGTCTCCCGGGTTCAAGCGATTCTCTTGCCTCAGCCTCCTGAGTAGCTGGGACTATAGGCACATGCCATCACGCCTGGCTAATTTTTGTATTTTTAGTAGAGACATGGCAGCAGGCAAGAGAGAAATGAGAACCAAGTGAAAGGGGTCCCCCGTTATAAAATCATCAGATCTTGGCCAGGCGCGATGGCTCATGCCTGTATTCCCAGCACTTTGGGAGACTGAAGCAGGCAGATCACCTGAGGTTGGGAGTTCGAGACCAGCCTGGCCAACATGGAGAAACCCCGTCTCTACTAAAAATACAAAAATTAGCTAAGTGTGGTGGTGCACGCCTGTAGTCCCAGCTACTTGGGAGGCTGAGGCAGGAGAATCACTTGAATCTGGGAGGCAGAGGTTGCAGTGAGCTGAGATCACACCATTGTACTCCAGCCTGGGCAACAAAGCCAGCTCAAGAAAAAAAAAATCAGATCTTGTGAGACTTATTTACTACCATGAGAACAGTATGGGTGAATCCGCCTCCATGATTCAATTATCCCCCCCAAGTCCTTCCTATAACACGTGAGAATTATAGGAGCTACAATTCAAGATGAGATTTGGGTGGGGACACAGCCTAATAATATCACCCCCTCCCTCACTAACCTCCATTAGTTCTTCTTCCCTGAGGGTTGAACAGAAACCAGCCTTTTGTGTTTTGTTTTTTATTTGTTAGTTTGTTTTTGAGACAGTCTCGCTCTGTTGCCAGGCTGGAGGGCAGTGGCATGATATCAGCTCACTGCAACCTCCGCCTCCTGGGTTCAAGCGATTCTCCTGCCTCAGCCTCCCGAGTAGCTGGGACTACAGGTGCGTACGACCATGCCCAGCTAATTTTTGTATTTTTAGTAGAGACGGGGTTTCACCATGTTGGTCAGGATGGTCTCGATCTCTTGACCTCAAATGATCCGTTCACCTCTGCCTCCCAAAGTGCTGGGATTATAGGCATGAGCCACCATGCCCAGCCAAACCAGCCTTTTTGAAAGGCTCATTCCACTGTTGATATCAACCAATTGCCCGATGCTACCTGTTTTGTGATTTTGACACAACTGACCAGCATTCCTTCGTGATAAGATACTATCAGTCACAGAGTGGTTCTGGCCAGTCTACAGAGTTTGCACACTGAGGGCCCTCATGACCTCGGCTTCGCCTTTTGTTTTTGTTTGTTTGTTTTTTGAGAGAGTCTTACTCTGTCTCCCAGGCTGGGGTGCAGTGCAGTGGTGGGATCTCGGCTCACTGCAATCTCCGCCTTCCAGGTTCAAGCGATTCTCCTTCTTCAGCCTCCCCAGTAGCTGGGATTACAGACACCTGCCACCATGCCTGGCTAATTTTTGTATTTTTAGTAAAGACGGGGTTTCGTCATATTGGCCAGGCTGGTCTTGAACTCCTGACCTCAAGTGATCTGCCTGACTTAGCCTCCCAAAGTGCTGGAATTACAGGTGTGAGCCACTGCACCCAACCCTCTGCTTCACCTTTTGATGTATAGGGCCTAATTGTAATGTGTTTAAATGTTAAATTGTAATACATTTAAATATTCACCCCAGATGAACATGGGATGCATGTGCATATGTTGGCCTACTATGCATGCACACGTTTCCCCTTTGTGAATATTCATAGCTCCTCCTGTAACCTGTTGAATATATATATTTGGCCACCCCATTCAGCATAAACCCCTGTCTTCATCTTCCCACCTTCAAAGTGCCTGTTTTTGGCTTCTGGCCAGAGGCTACACTTCTGAGCTTGTCAGAATAGACCACCTGCAGGCTGCAACCCCTTATGAGAAATAAAGCTCTCCTTTCCAAGTGTATGAACCTCATCATTCTTCAGCTGACACAGCTAAATTTCAGGGAACACTACAACTAAAGGGAAGAAGGGAAGAAAGGCTGTGGGGATGCTGCTTAGTTTCTACCATGACATGATGGCAGGCACAGTGCTAAGCTT